>NC_000016.10:36337666-36503526 GCF_000001405.40 Homo sapiens | reverse complement strand
CCAAACTGCTGAATGAAAAGAAAAGTTAAACTCTGTGAGTTGAACGCACACATCACAGAGCAGTTTCTGAGAATGATTCTGTCGGGTTTTTATACGAAGATATTTCCTTTTCTGCCTTTGGCCTCAAAGCGCTTGAAGTCTCCACTTGCAAATTGCAGAAAAAGAGTGTTTCGAATCTGCTCTGTCTAAAGGAAGGTTCAACTCTGTCAGTTGAATACACACAACACAAGGAAGTTACTGAGATTTCTTCTGTCTAGCCTTACATGAAAAAAACCCGTTTCCAACGAAGGCCTCAAAGAGGTCAAAATATCCACGTGCAGACTTTCCAAACAGAGTGTTTCCAAACTGCTGAATGAAAAGAAAAGTTAAACTCTGTGAGTTGAACGCACACATCCCAGAGCAGTTTCTGAGAAAGATTCTGTCGAGTTTTTATAGGAAAATATTTCCTTTTCTGCTTTTGGCCTCAAAGCGCTTGAAATCTCCACTTGCAAATTCCACAAAAAGAGACTTTCAAATCTGCTCTGTCTAAAGGAAGGTTCAACTCTGTCAGTTGAATACACACAACACAAAGAAGTTACTAAGAATTCTTCCCTCTAGCATTATATGAAGAAATCCCGTTTCCAACGAAGGCATCTAAGAGGTCCAAATATCCACTTGCAGACTTTACAAACAGAGGGTTTCCAGAATGCTGTATGAAAAGAAAGGTTAAACTCTGTGAGTTAAACACACACATCACTACGCAGTGTCTGGGAACGAGTTTGTCTTGTTTTTATACGAAGATATTTCCTTTTCTACCATTGGCATCGAAGCGCTTGAAATCTCCACTTGCAAATTCCACAAAAAGAGTGTTTCAAATCTGCTCTGTCTAAAGGAAGGTTGAACTCTGTGAGTTGCATATACACAACACAAAGAAGTTACTGAGAAATCTTTTGTCTAGCATAATATGAAGAAATCCCGTTTCCAACGAAGGCCTGAAAGAGGTCCGAATATCCACTGGCAGGCTTCACAAACAGAGTGTTTCCTAACTGCTCTGTGAAAAGAAAGGTTAAACTCTGTGAGTTGAACGCACACATCACAAAGGAGTTTCTGAGAATCATTCTGTCTAGTTTTTATACGAAGATATTTCCTTTTCTACCATTGACCTCAAAGCGGCTGAAATCTCCACTTGCAAATTCCAGAAAAACAGTGTTTCAAATCTGCTCTGTGTAAAGGATCGTTCAACTCTGTGAGTTGAATACACACAACACAAGGAAGTTACTGAGAATTCATCTGTCTAGCATAATATGAAGAAATCCCGTTTCCAACGAAGGCCTCAAAGAGGTCTGAATATCCACTTGCAGACTTTACAAACAGAGTGTTTCCTAACTGCTCTTTGAAAAGAAAGGTTAAACTCTGTGAGTTGAACGCACACATCACAAAACAGTTTCTGAGAATCATTCTGTCTAGTTTTTATACGAAGATATTTCCTTTTCTACCGTTGACCTCAAAGCGGCTGAATTCTCCACTTACAAATTCCACCAAAAGAGTGTCTCAAATCTGCTCTGTGTAAAGAATCATTCAACTCTGTGAGTTGAATGCACACAACACAAGGAAGTTACTGGGAATTCCTCTGTCTAACCTTACATGAAAAAACCCGTTTCCAACGAAGGCCTCTAAGAGGCCAAGATATCCACTTGCAGACTTTACAAACAGAGTGTTTCCAAACTGCTGAATGAAAAGAAAAGTTAAACTCTGTGAGTTGAACGCACACATCACAGAGCAGTTTCTGAGAATGATTCTGTCGGGTTTTTATACGAAGATATTTCCTTTTCTGCCTTTGGCCTCAAAGCGCTTGAAGTCTCCACTTGCAAATTGCAGAAAAAGAGTGTTTCGAATCTGCTCTGTCTAAAGGAAGGTTCAACTCTGTCAGTTGAATACACACAACACAAGGAAGTTACAGAGATTTCTTCTGTCTAGCCTTACATGAAAAAAACCCGTTTCCAAGGAAGGCCTCAAAGAGGTCAAAATATCCACGTGCAGACTTTCCAAACAGAGTGTTTCCAAACTGCTGAATGAAAAGAAAAGTTAAACTCTGTGAGTTGAACGCACACATCCCAGAGCAGTTTCTGAGAAAGATTCTGTCTAGTTTTTATAGGAAAATATTTCCTTTTCTGCTTTTGGCCTCAAAGCGCTTGAAATCTCCACTTGCAAATTCCACAAAAAGAGACTTTCAAATCTGCTCTGTCTAAAGGAAGGTTCAACTCTGTCAGTTGAATACACACAACACAAAGAAGTTACTAAGAATTCTTCCCTCTAGCATTATATGAAGAAATCCCGTTTCCAACGAAGGCATCTAAGAGGTCCAAATATCCACTTGCAGACTTTACAAACAGAGGGTTTCCAGAATGCTGTATGAAAAGAAAGGTGAAACTCTGTGAGTTAAACACACACATCACTACGCAGTGTCTGGGAACGAGTTTGTCTTGTTTTTATACGAAGATATTTCCTTTTCTACCATTGGCATCGAAGCGCTTGAAATCTCCACTTGCAAATTCCACAAAAAGAGTGTTTCAAATCTGCTCTGTCTAAAGGAAGGTTGAACTCTGTGAGTTGCATACACACAACACAAAGAAGTTACTGAGAAATCTTCTGTCTAGCATAATATGAAGAAATCCCGTTTCCAACGAAGGCCTCAAAGAGGTCCGAATATCCACTGGCAGGCTTCACAAACAGAGTGTTTCCTAACTGCTCTGTGAAAAGAAAGGTTAAACTCTGTGAGTTGAACGCACACATCACAAAGGAGTTTCTGAGAATCATTCTGTCTAGTTTTTATACGAAGATATTTCCTTTTCTACCATTGACCTCAAAGCGGCTGAAATCTCCACTTGCAAATTCCAGAAAAACAGTGTTTCAAATCTGCTCTGTGTAAAGGATCGTTCAACTCTGTGAGTTGAATACACACAACACAAGGAAGTTACTGAGAATTCATCTGTCTAGCATAATATGAAGAAATCCCGTTTCCAACGAAGGCCTCAAAGAGGTCTGAATATCCACTTGCAGACTTTACAAACAGAGTGTTTCCTAACTGCTCTTTGAAAAGAAAGGTTAAACTCTGTGAGTTGAAAGCACACATCACAAAACAGTTTCTGAGAATCATTCTGTCTAGTTTTTATACGAAGATATTTCCTTTTCTACCGTTGACATCAAAGCGGCTGAATTCTCCACTTACAAATTCCACCAAAAGAGTGTCTCAAATCTGCTCTGTGTAAAGAATCATTCAACTCTGTGAGTTGAATGCACACAACACAAGGAAGTTAGTGGGAATTCCTCTGTCTAACCTTACATGAAAAAACCCGTTTCCAACGAAGGCCTCTAAGAGGCCAAGATATCCACTTGCAGACTTTACAAACAGAGTGTTTCCAAACTGCTGAATGAAAAGAAAAGTTAAACTCTGTGAGTTGAACGCACACATCACAGAGCAGTTTCTGAGAATGATTCTGTCGGGTTTTTATACGAAGATATTTCCTTTTCTGCCTTTGGCCTCAAAGCGCTTGAAGTCTCCACTTGCAAATTGCAGAAAAAGAGTGTTTCGAATCTGCTCTGTCTAAAGGAAGGTTCAACTCTGTCAGTTGAATACACACAACACAAGGAAGTTACTGAGATTTCTTCTGTCTAGCCTTACATGAAAAAAACCCGTTTCCAACGAAGGCCTCAAAGAGGTCAAAATATCCACGTGCAGACTTTCCAAACAGAGTGTTTCCAAACTGCTGAATGAAAAGAAAAGTTAAACTCTGTGAGTTGAACGCACACATCCCAGAGCAGTTTCTGAGAAAGATTCTGTCGAGTTTTTATAGGAAAATATTTCCTTTTCTGCTTTTGGCCTCAAAGCGCTTGAAATCTCCACTTGCAAATTCCACAAAAAGAGACTTTCAAATCTGCTCTGTCTAAAGGAAGGTTCAACTCTGTCAGTTGAATACACACAACACAAAGAAGTTACTAAGAATTCTTCCCTCTAGCATTATATGAAGAAATCCCGTTTCCAACGAAGGCATCTAAGAGGTCCAAATATCCACTTGCAGACTTTACAAACACAGGGTTTCCAGAATGCTGTATGAAAAGAAAGGTTAAACTCTGTGAGTTAAACACACACATCACTACGCAGTGTCTGGGAACGAGATTGTCTTGTTTTTATACGAAGATATTTCCTTTTCTACCATTGGCATCGAAGCGCTTGAAATCTCCACTTGCAAATTCCACAAAAAGAGTGTTTCAAATCTGCTCTGTCTAAAGGAAGGTTGAACTCTGTGAGTTGCATACACACAACACAAAGAAGTTACTGAGAAATCTTCTGTCTAGCATAATATGAAGAAATCCCGTTTCCAACGAAGGCCTCAAAGAGGTCCGAATATCCACTGGCAGGCTTCACAAACAGAGTGTTTCCTAACTGCTCTGTGAAAAGAAAGGTTAAACTCTGTGAGTTGAACGCACACATCACAAAGGAGTTTCTGAGAATCATTCTGTCTAGTTTTTATACGAAGATATTTCCTTTTCTACCATTGACCTCAAAGCGGCTGAAATCTCCACTTGCAAATTCCAGAAAAACAGTGTTTCAAATCTGCTCTGTGTAAAGGATCGTTCAACTCTGTGAGTTGAATACACACAACACAAGGAAGTTACTGAGAATTCATCTGTCTAGCATAATATGAAGAAATCCCGTTTCCAACGAAGGCCTCAAAGAGGTCTGAATATCCTCTTGCAGACTTTACAAACAGAGTGTTTCCTAACTGCTCTTTGAAAAGAAAGGTTAAACTCTGTGAGTTGAACGCACACATCACAAAACAGTTTCTGAGAATCATTCTGTCTAGTTTTTATACGAAGATATTTCCTTTTCTACCGTTGACCTCAAAGCGGCTGAATTCTCCACTTACAAATTCCACCAAAAGAGTGTCTCAAAACTGCTCTGTGTAAAGAATCATTCAACTCTGTGAGTTGAATGCACACAACACAAGGAAGTTACTGGGAATTCCTGTGTCTATCCTTACATGAAAAAACCCGTTTCCAACGAAGGCCTCTAAGAGGCCAAGATATCCACTTGCAGACTTTACAAACAGAGTGTTTCCAAACTGCTGAATGAAAAGAAAAGTTAAACTCTGTGAGTTGAACGCACACATCACAGAGCAGTTTCTGAGAATGATTCTGTCGGGTTTTTATACGAAGATATTTCCTTTTCTGCCTTTGGCCTCAAAGCGCTTGAAGTCTCCACTTGCAAATTGCAGAAAAAGAGTGTTTCGAATCTGCTCTGTCTAAAGGAAGGTTCAACTCTGTCAGTTGAATACACACAACACAAGGAAGTTACTGAGATTTCTTCTATCTAGCCTTACATGAAAAAAACCCGTTTCCAACGAAGGCCTCAAAGAGGTCAAAATATCCACGGCAGACTTTACAAACAGAGTGTTTCCAAACTGCTGAATGAAAAGAAAAGTTAAACTCTGTGAGTTGAACGCACACATCACAGAGCAGTTTCTGAGAATGATTCTGTCGAGTTTTTATAGGAAAATATTTCCTTTTCTGCTTTCGGCCTCAAAGCGCTTGAAATCTCCACTTGCAAATTCCACAAAAAGAGACTTTCAAATCTGCTCTGTCTAAAGGAAGGTTCAACTCTGTCAGTTGAATACACACAACACAAAGAAGTTACTAAGAATTCTTCCCTCTAGCATTATATGAAGAAATCCCGTTTCCAACGAAGGCATCTAAGAGGTCCAAATATCCACTTGCAGACTTTACAAACACAGGGTTTCCAGAATGCTGTATGAAAAGAAAGGTGAAACTCTGTGAGTTAAACACACACATCACTACGCAGTGTCTGGGAACGAGTTTGTCTTGTTTTTATACGAAGATATTTCCTTTTCTACCATTGGCATCGAAGCGCTTGAAATCTCCACTTGCAAATTCCACAAAAAGAGTGTTTCAAATCTGCTCTGTCTAAAGGAAGGTTGAACTCTGTGAGTTGCATATACACAACACAAAGAAGTTACTGAGAAATCTTCTGTCTAGCATAATATGAAGAAATCCCGTTTCCAACGAAGGCCTCAAAGAGGTCCGAATATCCACTGGCAGGCTTCACAAACAGAGTGTTTCCTAACTGCTCTGTGAAAAGAAAGGTTAAACTCTGTGAGTTGAACGCACACATCACAAAGGAGTTTCTGAGAATCATTCTGTCTAGTTTTTATACGAAGATATTTCCTTTTCTACCATTGACCTCAAAGCGGCTGAAATCTCCACTTGCAAATTCCAGAAAAACAGTGTTTCAAATCTGCTCTGTGTAAAGGATCGTTCAACTCTGTGAGTTGAATACACACAACACAAGGAAGTTACTGAGAATTCATCTGTCTAGCATAATATGAAGAAATCCCGTTTCCAACGAAGGCCTCAAAGAGGTCTGAATATCCACTTGCAGACTTTACAAACAGAGTGTTTCCTAACTGCTCTTTGAAAAGAAAGGTTAAACTCTGTGAGTTGAACGCACACATCACAAAACAGTTTCTGAGAATCATTCTGTCTAGTTTTTATACGAAGATATTTCCTTTTCTACCGTTGACCTCAAAGCGGCTGAATTCTCCACTTACAAATTCCACCAAAAGAGTGTCTCAAATCTGCTCTGTGTAAAGAATCATTCAACTCTGTGAGTTGAATGCACACAACACAAGGAAGTTAGTGGGAATTCCTCTGTCTAACCTTACATGAAAAAACCCGTTTCCAACGAAGGCCTCTAAGAGGCCAAGATATCCACTTGCAGACTTTACAAACAGAGTGTTTCCAAACTGCTGAATGAAAAGAAAAGTTAAACTCTGTGAGTTGAACGCACACATCACAGAGCAGTTTCTGAGAATGATTCTGTCGGGTTTTTATACGAAGATATTTCCTTTTCTGCCTTTGGCCTCAAAGCGCTTGAAGTCTCCACTTGCAAATTGCAGAAAAAGAGTGTTTCGAATCTGCTCTGTCTAAAGGAAGGTTCAACTCTGTCAGTTGAATACACACAACACAAGGAAGTTACTGAGATTTCTTCTGTCTAGCCTTACATGAAAAAAACCCGTTTCCAACGAAGGCCTCTAAGAGGCCAATATATCCACGTGCAGACTTTCCAAACAGTGTTTCCAAACTGCTGAATGAAAAGAAAAGTTAAACTCTGTGAGTTGAACGCACACATCACAGAGCAGTTTCTGAGAATGATTCTATCTAGTTTTTATAGGAAAATATTTCCTTTTCTGCTTTTGGCCTCAAAGCGACTGAAATCTCCACTTGCAAATTCCACAAAAAGAGTGTTTCAAATCTGCTCTGTGTAAAGGAAGGTTCAACTCTGTCAGTTGAATACACACAACACAAAGATGTTACTAAGAATTCTTCCCTCTAGCATTATATGAAGAAATCCCGTTTCCAACGAAGGCATCTAAGAGGTCCAAATAACCACTTGCAGACTTTACAAACAGAGGGTTTCCAGAATGCTGTATGAAAAGAAAGGTTAAACTCTGTGAGTTAAACACACACATCACTACGCAGTGTGCTGGGAACGAGTTTTGTCTTGTTTTTATACGAAGATATTTCCTTTTCGACCATTGGCATCGAAGCGCTTGAAATCTCCACTTGCAAATTCCACAAAAAGAGTGTTTCAAATCTGCTCTGTCTAAAGGAAGGATGAACTCTGTGAGCTGCATACACACAACACAAAGTAGTTACTGAGAAATCTGTCTAGCATAATATGAAGAAATCCCGTTTCCAACGAAGTCCTCAAAGAGGTCCGAATATCCACTGGCAGACTTCACAGAGTGTTTCCTAACTGCTCTGTGAAAAGAAAGGTTAAACTCTGTGAGTTGAACGCACACATCACAAAGGAGTTTCTGAGAATCATTCTGTCTAGTTTTTATACGAAGATATTTCCTTTTCTACCATTGACCTCAAAGCGGCTGAAATCTCCACTTGCAAATTCCAGAAAAACAGTGTTTCAAATCTGCTCTGTGTAAAGGATCGTTCAACTCTGTGAGTTGAATACACACAACACAAGGGAAGTTACTGAGAATTCATCTGTCTAGCATAATATGAAGAAATCCCGTTTCCAACGAAGGCCTCAAAGAGGTCTGAATATCCACTTGCAGACTTTACAAACAGAGTGTTTCCTAACTGCTCTTTGAAAAGAAAGGTTAAACTCTGTGAGTTGAAAGCACACATCACAAAACAGTTTCTGAGAATCATTCTGTCTAGTTTTTATACGAAGATATTTCCTTTTCTACCGTTGACCTCAAAGCGGCTGAATTCTCCACTTACAAATTCCACCAAAAGAGTGTCTCAAATCTGCTCTGTGTAAAGAATCATTCAACTCTGTGAGTTGAATGCACACAACACAAGGAAGTTACTGGGAATTCCTCTGTCTAACCTTACATGAAAAAACCCGTTTCCAACGAAGGCCTCTAAGAGGCCAAGATATCCACTTGCAGACTTTACAAACAGAGTGTTTCCAAACTGCTGAATGAAAAGAAAAGTTAAACTCTGTGAGTTGAACGCACACATCACAGAGCAGTTTCTGAGAATGATTCTGTCGGGTTTTTATACGAAGATATTTCCTTTTCTGCCTTTGGCCTCAAAGCGCTTGAAGTCTCCACTTGCAAATTGCAGAAAAAGAGTGTTTCGAATCTGCTCTGTCTAAAGGAAGGTTCAACTCTGTCAGTTGAATACACACAACACAAGGAAGTTACTGAGATTTCTTCTGTCTAGCCTTACATGAAAAAAACCCGTTTCCAACGAAGGCCTCAAAGAGGTCAAAATATCCACGTGCAGACTTTCCAAACAGAGTGTTTCCAAACTGCTGAATGAAAAGAAAAGTTAAACTCTGTGAGTTGAACGCACACATCCCAGAGCAGTTTCTGAGAAAGATTCTGTCTAGTTTTTATAGGAAAATATTTCCTTTTCTGCTTTTGGCCTCAAAGCGCTTGAAATCTCCACTTGCAAATTCCACAAAAAGAGACTTTCAAATCTGCTCTGTCTAAAGGAAGGTTCAACTCTGTCAGTTGAATACACACAACACAAAGAAGTTACTAAGAATTCTTCCCTCTAGCATTATATGAAGAAATCCCGTTCCCAACGAAGGCATCTAAGAGGTCCAAATATCCACTTGCAGACTTTACAAACAGAGGGTTTCCAGAATGCTGTATGAAAAGAAAGGTTAAACTCTGTGAGTTAAACACACACATCACTACGCAGTGTCTGGGAACGAGTTTGTCTTGTTTTTATACGAAGATATTTCCTTTTCTACCATTGGCATCGATGCGCTTGAAATTTCCACTTGCAAATTCCACAAAAAGAGTGTTTCAAATCTGCTCTGTCTAAAGGAAGGTTGAACTCTGTGAGTTGCATACACACAACACAAAGAAGTTACTGAGAAATCTTCTGTCTAGCAAAATATGAAGAAATCCCGTTTCCAACGAAGGCCTCAAAGAGGTCCGAATATCCACTGGCAGGCTTCACAAACAGAGTGTTTCCTAACTGCTCTGTGAAAAGAAAGGTTAAACTCTGTGAGTTGAACGCACACATCACAAAGGAGTTTCTGAGAATCATTCTGTCCAGTTTTTATACGAAGATATTTCCTTTTCTACCATTGACCTCAAAGCGGCTGAAATCTCCACTTGCAAATTCCAGAAAAACAGTGTTTCAAATCTGCTCTGTGTAAAGGATCGTTCAACTCTGTGAGTTGAATACACACAACACAAGGAAGTTACTGAGAATTCATCTGTCTAGCATAATATGATGAAATCCCGTTTCCAACGAAGGCTTCAAAGAGGTCTGAATATCCACTTGCAGACTTTACAAACAGAGTGTTTCCTAACTGCTCTTTGAAAACAAAGGTTAAACTCTTTGAGTTGAACGCACACATCACAAAACAGTTTCTGAGAATCATTCTTTCTAGTTTTTATACGAAGATATTTCCTTTTCTACCGTTGACCTCAAAGCGGCTGAATTCTCCACTTACAAATTCCACCAAAAGTGTGTCTCAAATCAGCTCTGTGTAAAGAATCATTCAACTCTGTGAGTTGAATGCACACAACACAAGGAAGTTACTGGGAATTCCTCTGTCTAACCTTACATGAAAAAACGCGTTTCCAACGAAGGCCTCTAAGAGGCCAAGATATCCACTTGCAGACTTTACAAACAGAGTGTTTCCAAACTGCTGAATGAAAAGAAAAGTTAAACTCTGTGAGTTGAACGCACACATCACAGAGCAGTTTCTGAGAATGATTCTGTCGGGTTTTTATACGAAGATATTTCCTTTTCTGCCTTTGGCCTCAAAGCGCTTGAAGTCTCCACTTGCAAATTGCAGAAAAAGAGCGTTTCGAATCTGCTCTGTCTAAAGGAAGGTTCAACTCTGTCAGTTGAATACACACAACACAAGGAAGTTACTGAGATTTCTTCTGTCTAGCCTTACATGAAAAAAACCCGTTTCCAACGAAGGCCTCAAACAGGTCAAAATATCCACGTGCAGACTTTCCAAACAGAGTGTTTCCAAACTGCTGAATGAAAAGAAAGTTAAACTCTGTGAGTTGAACACACACATCACAGAGCAGTTTCTGAGAATGATTTCTGTCTAGTTTTTATAGGAAAATATTTCCTTTTCTGCTTTTGGCCTCAAAGCGCTTGAAATCTCCACTTGCAAATTCCACAAAAAGAGACTTTCAAATCTGCTCTGTCTAAAGGAAGGTTCAACTCTGTCAGTTGAATACACACAACACAAAGAAGTTACTAAGAATTCTTCCCTCTAGCATTATATGAAGAAATCCCGTTTCCAACGAAGGCATCTAAGAGGTCCAAATATGCACTTGCAGACTTTAGAAACAGAGGGTTTCCAGAATGCCGTATGAAAAGAAAGGTTAAACTCTGTGAGTTAAACACACACATCACTACGCAGTGTCTGGGAACGAGTTTGTCTTGTTTTTATACGAAGATATTTCCTTTTCTACCATTGGCATCGAAGCGCTTGAAATCTCCACTTGCAAATTCCACAAAAAGAGTGTTTCAAATCTGCTCTGTCTAAAGGAAGGTTGAACTCTGTGAGTTGCATACACACAACACAAAGAAGTTACTGAGAAATCTTCTGTCTAGCATAATATGAAGAAATCCCGTTTCCAACGAAGGCCTCAAAGAGGTCCGAATATCCACTGGCAGGCTTCACAAACAGAGTGTTTCCTAACTGCTCTGTGAAAAGAAAGGTTAAACTCTGTGAGTTGAACGCACACATCACAAAGGAGTTTCTGAGAATCATTCTGTCTAGTTTTTATACGAAGATATTTCCTTTTCTACCATTGACCTCAAAGCGGCTGAAATCTCCACTTGCAAATTCCAGAAAAACAGTGTTTCAAATCTGCTCTGTGTAAAGGATCGTTCAACTCTGTGAGTTGAATACACACAACACAAGGAAGTTACTGAGAATTCATCTGTCTAGCATAATATGAAGAAATCCCGTTTCCAACGAAGGCCTCAAAGAGGTCTGAATATCCACTTGCAGACTTTACAAACAGAGTGTTTCCTAACTGCTCTTTGAAAAGAAAGGTTAAACTCTGTGAGTTGAACGCACACATCACAAAACAGTTTCTGAGAATCATTCTGTCTAGTTTTTATACGAAGATATTTCCTTTTCTACCTTTGACCTCAAAGCGGCTGAATTCTCCACTTACAAATTCCACCAAAAGAGTGTCTCAAATCTGCTCTGTGTAAAGAATCATTCAACTCTGTGAGTTGAATGCACACAACACAAGGAAGTTACTGGGAATTCCTCTGTCTATCCTTACATGAAAAAACCCGTTTCCAACGAAGGCCTCTAAGAGGCCAAGATATCCACTTGCAGACTTTACAAACAGAGTGTTTCCAAACTGCTGAATGAAAAGAAAAGTTAAACTCTGTGAGTTGAACGCACACATCACAGAGCAGTTTCTGAGAAAGATTCTGTCTAGTTTTTATAGGAAAATATTTCCTTTTCTGCTTTTGGCCTCAAAGCGCTTGAAATCTCCACTTGCAAATTCCACAAAAAGAGTGTTTCAAATCTGCTCTGTCTAAAGGAAGGTTGAACTCTGTGAGTTGCATACACACAACACAAAGAAGTTACTGAGAAATCTTCTGTCTAGTATAATATGAAGAAATCCCGTTTCCAACGAAGGCCTCAAAGAGGTCCGAATATCCACTGGCAGGCTTCACAAACAGAGTGTTTCCTAACTGCTCTGTGAAAAGAAAGGTTAAACTCTGTGAGTTGAACGCACACATCACAAAGGAGTTTCTGAGAATCATTCTGTCTAGTTTTTATACGAAGATATTTCCTTTTCTACCATTGACCTCAAAGCGGCTGAAATCTCCACTTGCAAATTCCAGAAAAACAGTGTTTCAAATCCTGCTGCTGTGTAAAGGATCGTTTAACTCTGTGAGTTGAATACACACAACACAAGGAAGTTACTGAGAATTCATCTGTCTAGCATAATATGAAGAAATCCCGTTTCCAACGAAGGCCTCAAAGAGGTCTGAATATCCACTTGCAGACTTTACAAACAGAGTGTTTCCTAACTGCTCTTTGAAAAGAAAGGTTAAACTCTGTGAGTTGAACGCACACATCACAAAACAGTTTCTGAGAATCATTCTGTCTAGTTTTTATACGAAGATATTTCCTTTTCTACCGTTGACCTCAAAGCGGCTGAATTCTCCACTTACAAATTCCACCAAAAGAGTGTCTCAAATCTGCTCTGTGTAAAGAATCATTCAACTCTGTGAGTTGAATGCACACAACACAAGGAAGTTACTGGGAATTCCTCTGTCTATCCTTACATGAAAAAACCCGCTTCCAACGAAGGCCTCTAAGAGGCCAAGATATCCACTTGCAGACTTTACAAACAGAGTGTTTCCAAACTGCTGAATGAAAAGAAAAGTTAAACTCTGTGAGTTGAACGCACACATCACAGAGCAGTTTCTGAGAATGATTCTGTCGGGTTTTTATACGAAGATATTTCCTTTTCTGCCTTTGGCCTCAAAGCGCTTGAAGTCTCCACTTGCAAATTGCAGAAAAAGAGTGTTTCGAATCTGCTCTGTCTAAAGGAAGGTTCAACTCTGTCAGTTGAATACACACAACACAAGGAAGTTACTGAGATTTCTTCTGTCTAGCCTTACATGAAAAAAACCCGTTTCCAACGAAGGCCTCAAAGAGGTCAAAATATCCACGTGCAGACTTTCCAAACAGAGTGTTTCCAAACTGCTGAATGAAAAGAAAAGTTAAACTCTGTGAGTTGAACGCACACATCCCAGAGCAGTTTCTGAGAAAGATTCTGTCGAGGTTTTATAGGAAAATATTTCCTTTTCTGCTTTTGGCCTCAAAGCGCTTGAAATCTCCACTTGCAAATTCCACAAAAAGAGACTTTCAAATCTGCTCTGTCTAAAGGAAGGTTCAACTCTGTCAGTTGAATACACACAACACAAAGAAGTTACTAAGAATTCTTCCCTCTAGCATTATATGAAGAAATCCCGTTTCCAACGAAGGCATCTAAGAGGTCCAAATATCCACTTGCAGACTTTACAAACAGAGGGTTTCCAGAATGCTGTATGAAAAGAAAGGTGAAACTCTGTGAGTTAAACACACACATCACTACGCAGTGTCTGGGAACGAGTTTGTCTTGTTTTTATACGAAGATATTTCCTTTTCTACCATTGGCATCGAAGCGCTTGAAATCTCCACTTGCAAATTCCACAAAAAGAGTGTTTCAAATCTGCTCTGCCTAAAGGAAGGTTGAACTCTGTGAGTTGCATACACACAACACAAAGAAGTTACTGAGAAATCTTCTGTCTAGCATAATATGAAGAAATCCCGTTTCCAACGAAGGCCTCAAAGAGGTCTGAATATCCACTTGCAGACTTTACAAACAGAGTGTTTCCTAACTGCTCTTTGAAAAGAAAGGTTAAACTCTGTGAGTTGAAAGCACACATCACAAAACAGTTTCTGAGAATCATTCTGTCTAGTTTTTATACGAAGATATTTCCTTTTCTACCGTTGACCTCAAAGCGGCTGAATTCTCCACTTACAAATTCCACCAAAAGAGTGTCTCAAATCTGCTCTGTGTAAAGAATCATTCAACTCTGTGAGTTGAATGCACACAACACAAGGAAGTTACTGGGAATTCCTCTGTCTATCCTTACATGAAAAAACCCGTTTCCAACGAAGGCCTCTAAGAGGCCAAGATATCCACTTGCAGACTTTACAAACAGAGTGTTTCCAAACTGTTGAATGAAAAGAAAAGTTAAACTCTGTGAGTTGAACGCACACATCACAGAGCAGTTTCTGAGAATGATTCTGTCGGGTTTTTATACGAAGATATTTCCTTTTCTGCCTTTGGCCTCAAAGCGCTTGAAGTCTCCACTTGCAAATTGCAGAAAAAGAGTGTTTCGAATCTGCTCTGTCTAAAGGAAGGTTCAACTCTGTCAGTTGAATACACACAACACAAGGAAGTTACTGAGATTTCTTCTGTCTAGCCTTACATGAAAAAAACCCGTTTCCAACGAAGGCCTCAAAGAGGTCAAAATATCCACGTGCAGACTTTCCAAACAGAGTGTTTCCAAACTGCTGAATGAAAAGAAAAGTTAAACTCTGTGAGTTGAACGCACACATCCCAGAGCAGTTTCTGAGAAAGATTCTGTCGAGTTTTTATAGGAAAATATTTCCTTTTCTGCTTTTGGCCTCAAAGCGCTTGAAATCTCCACTTGCAAATTCCACAAAAAGAGACTTTCAAATCTGCTCTGTCTAAAGGAAGGTTCAACTCTGTCAGTTGAATACACACAACACAAAGAAGTTACTAAGAATTCTTCCCTCTAGCATTATATGAAGAAATCCCGTTTCCAACGAAGGCATCTAAGAGGTCCAAATATCCACTTGCAGACTTTACAAACAGAGGGTTTCCAGAATGCTGTATGAAAAGAAAGGTGAAACTCTGTGAGTTAAACACACACATCACTACGCAGTGTCTGGGAACGAGTTTGTCTTGTTTTTATACGAAGATATTTCCTTTTCTACCATTGGCATCGAAGCGCTTGAAATCTCCACTTGCAAATTCCACAAAAAGAGTGTTTCAAATCTGCTCTGTCTAAAGGAAGGTTGAACTCTGTGAGTTGCATACACACAACACAAAGAAGTTACTGAGAAATCTTCTGTCTAGCATAATATGAAGAAATCCCGTTTCCAACGAAGGCCTCAAAGAGGTCCGAATATCCACTGGCAGGCTTCACAAACAGAGTGTTTCCTAACTGCTCTGTGAAAAGAAAGGTTAAACTCTGTGAGTTGAACGCACACATCACAAAGGAGTTTCTGAGAATCATTCTGTCTAGTTTTTATACAGAAGATATTTCCTTTTCTACCATTGACCTCAAAGCGGCTGAAATCTCCACTTGCAAATTCCAGAAAAACAGTGTTTCAAATCTGCTCTGTGTAAAGGATCGTTCAACTCTGTGAGTTGAATACACACAACACAAGGAAGTTACTGAGAATTCATCTGTCTAGCATAATATGATGAAATCCCGTTTCCAACGAAGGCTTCAAAGAGGTCTGAATATCCACTTGTAGACTTTACAAACAGAGTGTTTCCTAACTGCTCTTTGAAAAGAAAGGTTAAACTCTGTGAGTTGAACGCACACATCACAAAACAGTTTCTGAGAATCATTCTTTCTAGTTTTTATACGAAGATATTTCCTTTTCTACCGTTGACCTCAAAGCGGCTGAATTCTCCACTTACAAATTCCACCAAAAGTGTGTCTCAAATCTGCTCTGTGTAAAGAATCATTCAACTCTGTGAGTTGAATGCACACAACACAAGGAAGTTACTGGGAATTCCTCTGTCTAACCTTACATGAAAAAACGCGTTTCCAACGAACGCCTCTAAGAGACCAAGATATCCACTTGCAGACTTTACAAACAGAGTGTTTCCAAACTGCTGAATGAAAAGAAAAGTTAAAATCTGTGAGTTGAACGCACACATCACAGAGCAGTTTCTGAGAATGATTCTGTCGGGTTTTTATACGAAGATATTTCCTTTTCTGCCTTTGGCCTCAAAGCGCTTGAAGTCTCCACTTGCAAATTGCAGAAAAAGAGTGTTTCGAATCTGCTCTGTCTAAAGGAAGGTTCAACTCTGTCAGTTGAATACACACAACACAAGGAAGTTACTGAGATTTCTTCTGTCTAGCCTTACATGAAAAAAACCCGTTTCCAACGAAGGCCTCAAAGAGGTCAAAATATCCACGTGCAGACTTTCCAAACAGAGTGTTTCCAAACTGCTGAATGAAAAGAAAAGTTAAACTCTGTGAGTTGAACGCACACATCACAGAGCAGTTTCTGAGAATGATTCTGTCTAGTTTTTATAGGAAAATATTTCCTTTTCTGCTTTTGGCCTCAAAGCGCTTGAAATCTCCACTTGCAAATTCCACAAAAAGAGACTTTCAAATCTGCTCTGTCTAAAGGAAGGTTCAACTCTGTCAGTTGAATACACACAACACAAAGAAGTTACTAAGAATTCTTCCCTCTAGCATTATATGAAGAAATCCCGTTTCCAACGAAGGCATCTAAGAGGTCCAAATATCCACTTGCAGACTTTACAAACAGAGGGTTTCCAGAATGCTGTATGAAAAGAAAGGTTAAACTCTGTGAGTTAAACACACACATCACTACGCAGTGTCTGGGAACGAGTTTGTCTTGTTTTTATACGAAGATATTTCCTTTTCTACCATTGGCATTGAAGCGCTTGAAATCTCCACTTGCAAATTCCACAAAAAGAGTGTTTCAAATCTGCGCTGTCTAAAGGAAGGTTGAACTCTGTGAGTTGTATACACACAACACAAAGAAGTTACTGAGAAATCTTCTGTCTAGCATAATATGAAGAAATCCCGTTTCCAACGAAGGCCTCAAAGAGGTCCGAATATCCACTGGCAGGCTTCACAAACAGAGTGTTTCCTAACTGCTCTGTGAAAAGAAAGGTTAAACTCTGTGAGTTGAACGCACACATCACAAAGGAGTTTCTGAGAATCATTCTGTCTAGTTTTTATACGAAGATATTTCCTTTTCTACCATTGACCTCAAAGCGGCTGAAATCTCCACTTGCAAATTCCAGAAAAACAGTGTTTCAAATCTGCTCTGTGTAAAGGATCGTTCAACTCTGTGAGTTGAATACACACAACACAAGGAAGTTACTGAGAATTCATCTGTCTAGCATAATATGAAGAAATCCCGTTTCCAACGAAGGCCTCAAAGAGGTCTGAATATCCACTTGCAGACTTTACAAACAGAGTGTTTCCTCACTGCTCTTTGAAAAGAAAGGTTAAACTCTGTGAGTTGAACGCACACATCACAAAACAGTTTCTGAGAATCATTCTGTCTAGTTTTTATACGAAGATATTTCCTTTTCTACCGTTGACCTCAAAGCGGCTGAATTCTCTACTTACAAATTCCACCAAAAGAGTGTCTCAAATCTGCTCTGTGTAAAGAATCATTCAACTCTGTGAGTTGAATGCACACAACACAAGGAAGTTACTGGGAATTCCTCTGTCTAACCTTACATGAAAAAACCCGTTTCCAACGAAGGCCTCTAAGAGGCCAAGATATCCACTTGCAGACTTTACAAACAGAGTGTTTCCAAACTGCTGAATGAAAAGAAAAGTTAAACTCTGTGAGTTGAACGCACACATCACAGAGCAGTTTCTGAGAGTGATTCTGTCGGGTTTTTATACGAAGATATTTCCTTTTCTGCCTTTGGCCTCAAAGCGCTTGAAGTTTCCACTTGCAAATTGCAGAAAAAGAGTGTTTCGAATCTGCTCTGTCTAAAGGAAGGTTCAACTCTGTCAGTTGAATACACACAACACAAGGAAGTTACTGAGATTTCTTTCTGTCTAGCCTTACATGAAAAAAACCCGTTTCCAACGAAGGCCTCAAAGTAGGTCAAAATATCCACGTGCAGACTTTCCAAACAGAGTGTTTCCAAACTGCTGAATGAAAAGAAAAGTTAAACTCTGTGAGTTGAACGCACACATCCCAGAGCAGTTTCTGAGAAAGATTCTGTCTAGTTTTTATAGGAAAATATTTCCTTTTCTGCTTTTGGCCTCAAAGCGCTTGAAATCTCCACTTGCAAATTCCACAAAAAGAGACTTTCAAATCTGCTCTGTCTAAAGGAAGGTTCAACTCTGTCAGTTGAATACACACAACACAAAGAAGTTACTAAGAATTCTTCCCTCTAGCATTATATGAAGAAATACCGTTTCCAACGAAGGCATCTAAGAGGTCCAAATATCCACTTGCAGACTTTACAAACAGAGGGTTTCCAGAATGCTGTATGAAAAGAAAGGTGAAACTCTGTGAGTTAAACACACACATCACTACGCAGTGTCTGGGAACGAGTTTGTCTTGTTTTTATACGAAGATATTTCCTTTTCTACCATTGGCATCGAAGCGCTTGAAATCTCCACTTGCAAATTCCACAAAAAGAGTGTTTCAAATCTGCTCTGTCTAAAGGAAGGTTGAACTCTGTGAGTTGCATACACACAACACAAAGAAGTTACTGAGAAATCTTCTGTCTAGCATAATATGAAGAAATCCCGTTTCCAACGAAGGCCTCAAAGAGGTCCGAATATCCACTGGCAGGCTTCACAAACAGAGTGTTTCCTAACTGCTCTGTGAAAAGAAAGGTTAAACTCTGTGAGTTGAACGCACACATCACAAAGGAGTTTCTGAGAATCATTCTGTCTAGTTTTTATACGAAGATATTTCCTTTTCTACCATTGACCTCAAAGCGGCTGAAATCTCCACTTGCAAATTCCAGAAAAACAGTGTTTCAAATCTGCTCTGTGTAAAGGATCGTTCAACTCTGTGAGTTGAATACACACAACACAAGGGAAGTTACTGAGAATTCATCTGTCTAGCATAATATGAAGAAATCCCGTTTCCAACGAAGGCCTCAAAGAGGTCTGAATATCCACTTGCAGACTTTACAAACAGAGTGTTTCCTAACTGCTCTTTGAAAAGAAAGGTTAAACTCTGTGAGTTGAACGCACACATCACAAAACAGTTTCTGAGAATCATTCTGTCTAGTTTTTATACGAAGATATTTCCTTTTCTACCGTTGACCTCAAAGCGGCTGAATTCTCCACTTACAAATTCCACCAAAAGAGTGTCTCAAATCTGCTCTGTGTAAAGAATCATTCAACTCTGTGAGTTGAATGCACACAACACAAGGAAGTTACTGGGAATTCCTCTGTCTAACCTTACATGAAAAAACCCGTTTCCAACGAAGGCCTCTAAGAGGCCAAGATATCCACTTGCAGACTTTACAAACAGAGTGTTTCCAAACTGCTGAATGAAAAGAAAAGTTAAACTCTGTGAGTTGAACGCACACATCACAGAGCAGTTTCTGAGAATGATTCTGTCGGGTTTTTATACGAAGATATTTCCTTTTCTGCCTTTGGCCTCAAAGCGCTTGAAGTCTCCACTTGCAAATTGCAGAAAAAGAGTGTTTCGAATCTGCTCTGTCTAAAGGAAGGTTCAACTCTGTCAGTTGAATACACACAACACAAGGAAGTTACTGAGATTTCTTCTGTCTAGCCTTACATGAAAAAAACCCGTTTCCAACGAAGGCCTCAAAGAGGTCAAAATATCCACGTGCAGACTTTCCAAACAGAGTGTTTCCAAACTGCTGAATGGAAAGAAAAGTTAAACTCTGTGAGTTGAACGCACACATCCCAGAGCAGTTTCTGAGAAAGATTCTGTCGAGTTTTTATAGGAAAATATTTCCTTTTCTGCTTTTGGCCTCAAAGCGCTTGAAATCTCCACTTGCAAATTCCACAAAAAGAGACTTTCAAATCTGCTCTGTCTAAAGGAAGGTTCAACTCTGTCAGTTGAATACACACAACACAAAGAAGTTACTAAGAATTCTTCCCTCTAGCATTATACGAAGAAATCCCGTTTCCAACGAAGGCATCTAAGAGGTCCAAATATCCACTTGCAGACTTTACAAACAGAGGGTTTCCAGAATGCTGTATGAAAAGAAAGGTTAAACTCAGTGAGTTAAACACACACATCACTACGCAGTGTCTGGGAACGAGTTTGTCTTGTTTTTATACGAAGATATTTCCTTTTCTACCATTGGCATCGAAGCGCTTGAAATCTCCACTTGCAAATTCCACAAAAAGAGTGTTTCAAATCTGCTCTGTCTAAAGGAAGGTTGAACTCTGTGAGTTGCATACACACAACACAAAGAAGTTACTGAGAAATCTTCTGAATAGCATAATATGAAGAAATCCCGTTTCCAACGAAGGCCTCAAAGAGGTCCGAATATCCACTGGCAGGCTTCACAAACAGAGTGTTTCCTAACTGCTCTGTGAAAAGAAAGGTTAAACTCTGTGAGTTGAACGCACACATCACAAAGGAGTTTCTGAGAATCATTCTGTCTAGTTTTTATACGAAGATATTTCCTTTTCTACCATTGACCTCAAATCGGCTGAAATCTCCACTTGCAAATTCCAGAAAAACAGTGTTTCAAATCTGCTCTGTGTAAAGGATCGTTCAACTCTGTGAGTTGAATACACACAACACAAGGAAGTTACTGAGAATTCATCTGTCTAGCATAATATGAAGAAATCCCGTTTCCAACGAAGGCCTCAAAGAGGTCTGAATATCCACTTGCAGACTTTACAAACAGAGTGTTTCCTAACTGCTCTCTGAAAAGAAAGGTTAAACTGTGTGAGTTGAACGCACACATCACAAAACAGTTTCTGAGAATCATTCTGTCTAGTTTTTATACGTAGATATTTCCTTTTCTACCGTTGACCTCAAAGCGGCTGAATTCTCCACTTACAAATTCCACCAAAAGAGTGTCTCAAATCTGCTCTGTGTAAAGAATCATTCAACTCTGTGAGTTGAATGCACACAACACAAGGAAGTTACTGGGAATTCCTCTGTCTATCCTTACATGAAAAAACCCGTTTCCAACGAAGGCCTCTAAGAGGCCAAGATATCCACTTGCAGACTTTACAAACAGAGTGTTTCCAAACTGCTGAATGAAAAGAAAAGTTAAACTCTGTGAGTTGAACGCACACATCACAGAGCAGTTTCTGAGAAAGATTCTGTCGAGTTTTTATAGGAAAATATTTCCTTTTCTGCTTTTGGCCTCAAAGCGCTTGAAATCTCCACTTGCAAATTCCACAAAAAGAGACTTTCAAATCTGCTCTGTCTAAAGGAAGGTTCAACTCTGTCAGTTGAATACACACAACACAAAGAAGTTACTAAGAATTCTTCCCTCTAGCATTATATGAAGAAATCCCGTTTCCAACGAAGGCATCTAAGAGGTCCAAATATCCACTTGCAGACTTTACAAACACAGGGTTTCCAGAATGCTGTATGAAAAGAAAGGTTAAACTCTGTGAGTTAAACACACACATCACTACGCAGTGTCTGGGAACGAGTTCGTCTTGTTTTTATACGAAGATATTTCCTTTTCTACCATTGGCATCGAAGCGCTTGAAATCTCCACTTGCAAATTCCACAAAAAGAGTGTTTCAAATCTGCTCTGTCTAAAGGAAGGTTGAACTCTGTGAGTTGCATACACACAACACAAAGAAGTTACTGAGACATCTTCTGTCTAGCATAATATGAAGAAATCCCGTTTCCAACGAAGGCCTCAAAGAGGTCCGAATATCCACTGGCAGGCTTCACAAACAGAGTGTTTCCTAACTGCTCTGTGAAAACAAAGGTTAAACTCTGTGAGTTGAACGCACACATCACAAAGGAGTTTCTGAGAATCATTCTGTCTAGTTTTTATACGAAGATATTTCCTTTTCTACCGTTGACCTCAAAGCGGCTGAAATCTCCACTTGCAAATTCCAGAAAAACAGTGTTTCAAATCTGCTCTGTGTAAAGGATCGTTCAACTCTGTGAGTTGAATACACACAACACAAGGAAGTTACTGAGAATTCATCTGTCTAGCATAATATGAAGAAATCCCGTTTCCAACGAAGGCCTCAAAGAGGTCTGAATATCCACTTGCAGACTTTACAAACAGAGTGTTTCCTAACTGCTCTTTGAAAAGAAAGGTTAAACTCTGTGAGTTGAACGCACACATCACAAAACAGTTTCTGAGAATCATTCTGTCTAGTTTTTATACGAAGATATTTCCTTTTCTACCGTTGACCTCAAAGCGGCTGAATTCTCCACTTACAAATTCCACCAAAAGAGTGTCTCAAATCTGCTCTGTGTAAAGAATCATTCAACTCTGTGAGTTGAATGCACACAACACAAGGAAGTTACTGGGAATTCCTCTGTCTAACCTTACATGAAAAAACCCGTTTCCAACGAAGGCCTCTAAGAGGCCAAGATATCCACTTGCAGACTTTACAAACAGAGTGTTTCCAAACTGCTGAATGAAAAGAAAAGTTAAACTCTGTGAGTTGAACGCACACATCACAGAGCAGTTTCTGAGAATGATTCTGTCGGGTTTTTATACGAAGATATTTCCTTTTCTGCCTTTGGCCTCAAAGCGCTTGAAGTCTCCACTTGCAAATTGCAGAAAAAGAGTGTTTCGAATCTGCTCTGTCTAAAGGAAGGTTCAACTCTGTCAGTTGAATACACACAACACAAGGAAGTTACTGAGATTTCTTCTGTCTAGCCTTACATGAAAAAAACCCGTTTCCAACGAAGGCCTCAAAGAGGTCAAAATATCCACGTGCAGACTTTCCAAACAGAGTGTTTCCAAACTGCTGAATGAAAAGAAAAGTTATACTCTGTGAGTTGAACGCACACATCCCAGAGCAGTTTCTGAGAAAGATTTCTGTCGAGTTTTTATAGGAAAATATTTCCTTTTCTGCTTTTGGCCTCAAAGCGCTTGAAATCTCCACTTGCAAATTCCACAGAAAGAGACTTTCAAATCTGCTCTGTCTAAAGGAAGGTTCAACTCTGTCAGTTGAATACACACAACACAAAGAAGTTACTAAGAATTCTTCCCTCTAGCATTATATGAAGAAATCCCGTTTCCAACGAAGGCATCTAAGAGGTCCAAATATCCACTTGCAGACTTTACAAACACAGGGTTTCCAGAATGCTGTATGAAAAGAAAGGTTAAACTCTGTGAGTTAAACACACACATCACTACGCAGTGTCTGGGAACGAGTTTGTCTTGTTTTTATACGAAGATATTTCCTTTTCTACCATTGGCATCGAAGCGCTTGAAATCTCCACTTGCAAATTCCACAAAAAGAGTGTTTCAAATCTGCTCTGTCTAAAGGAAGGTTGAACTCTGTGAGTTGCATACACACAACCCAAAGAAGTTACTGAGAAATCTTCTGTCTAGCATAATATGAAGAAATCCCGTTTCCAACGAAGGCCTCAAAGAGGTCCGATTATCCACTGGCAGGCTTCACAAACAGAGTGTTTCCTAACTGCTCTGTGAAAAGAAAGGTTAAACTCTGTGAGTTGAACGCACACATCACAAAGGAGTTTCTGAGAATCATTCTGTCTAGTTTTTATACGAAGATATTTCCTTTTCTACCATTGACCTCAAAGCGGCTGAAATCTCCACTTGCAAATTCCAGAAAAACAGTGTTTCAAATCTGCTCTGTGTAAAGGATCGTTCAACTCTGTGAGTTGAATACACACAACACAAGGAAGTTACTGAGAATTCATCTGTCTAGTATAATATGAAGAAATCCCGTTTCCAACGAAGGCCTCAAAGAGGTCTGAATATCCACTTGCAGACTTTACAAACAGAGTGTTTCCTAACTGCTCTTTGAAAAGAAAGGTTAAACTCTGTGAGTTGAAAGCACACATCACAAAACAGTTTCTGAGAATCATTCTGTCTAGTTTTTATACGAAGATATTTCCTTTTCTACCGTTGACATCAAAGCGGCTGAATTCTCCACTTACAAATTCCACCAAAAGAGTGTCTCAAATCTGCTCTGTGTAAAGAATCATTCAACTCTGTGAGTTGAATGCACACAACACAAGGAAGTTAGTGGGAATTCCTCTGTCTAACCTTACATGAAAAAACCCTCTACCAACGAAGGCCTCTAAGAGGCCAAGATATCCACTTGCAGACTTTACAAACAGAGTGTTTCCAAACTGCTGAATGAAAAGAAAAGTTAAACTCTGTGAGTTGAACGCACACATCACAGAGCAGTTTCTGAGAATGATTCTGTCGGGTTTTTATACGAAGATATTTCCTTTTCTGCCTTTGGCCTCAAAGCGCTTGAAGTCTCCACTTGCAAATTGCAGAAAAAGAGTGTTTCGAATCTGCTCTGTCTAAAGGAAGGTTCAACTCTGTCAGTTGAATACACACAACACAAGGAAGTTACTGAGATTTCTTCTGTCTAGCCTTACATGAAAAAAACCCGTTTCCAACGAAGGCCTCAAAGAGGTCAAAATATCCACGTGCAGACTTTCCAAACAGAGTGTTTCCAAACTGCTAAATGAAAAGAAAAGTTAAACTCTGTGAGTTGAACGCACACATCCCAGAGCAGTTTCTGAGAAAGATTCTGTCTAGTTTTTATAGGAAAATATTTCCTTTTCTGCTTTTGGCCTCAAAGCGCTTGAAATCTCCACTTGCAAATTCCACAAAAAGAGACTTTCAAATCTGCTCTGTCTAAAGGAAGGTTCAACTCTGTCAGTTGAATACACACAACACAAAGAAGTTACTAAGAATTCTTCCCTCTAGCATTATATGAAGAAATCCCGTTTCCAACCGAAGGCATCTAAGAGGTCCAAATATCCACTTGCAGACTTTACAAACACAGGGTTTCCAGAATGCTGTATGAAAAGAAAGGTTAAACTCTGTGAGTTAAACACACACATCACTACGCAGTGTCTGGGAACGAGTTTGTCTTGTTTTTCTACGAAGATATTTCCTTTTCTACCATTGGCATCGAAGCGCTTGAAATCTCCACTTGCAAATTCCACAAAAAGAGTGTTTCAAATCTGCTCTGTCTAAAGGAAGGTTGAACTCCTGTGAGTTGCATACACACAACACAAAGAAGTTACTGAGAAATCTTCTGTCTAGCATAATATGAAGAAATCCCGTTTCCAACGAAGGCCTCAAAGAGGTCCGAATATCCACTGGCAGGCTTCACAAACAGAGTGTTTCCTAACTGCTCTGTGAAAAGAAAGGTTAAACTCTGTGAGTTGAACGCACACATCACAAAGGAGTTTCTGAGAATCATTCTGTCTAGTTTTTATACGAAGATATTTCCTTTTCTACCATTGACCTCAAAGCGGCTGAAATCTCCACTTGCAAATTCCAGAAAAACAGTGTTTCAAATCTGCTCTGTGTAAAGGATCGTTCAACTCTGTGAGTTGAATACACACAACACAAGGAAGTTACTGAGAATTCATCTGTCTAGCATAATATGAAGAAATCCCGTTTCCAACGAAGGCCTCAAAGAGGTCTGAATATCCACTTGCAGACTTTACAAACAGAGTGTTTCCTAACTGCTCTTTGAAAAGAAAGGTTAAACTCTGTGAGTTGAACGCACACATCACAAAACAGTTTCTGAGAATCATTCTGTCTAGTTTTTATACGAAGATATTTCCTTTTCTACCGTTGACATCAAAGCGGCTGAATTCTCCACTTACAAATTCCACCAAAAGAGTGTCTCAAAACTGCTCTGTGTAAAGAATCATTCAACTCTGTGAGTTGAATGCACACAACACAAGGAAGTTACTGGGAATTCCTCTGTCTAACCTTACATGATAAAACCCGTTTCCAACGAAGGCCTCTAAGAGGCCAAGATATCCACTTGCAGACTTTACAAACAGAGTGTTTCCAAACTGCTGAATGAAAAGAAAAGTTAAACTCTGTGAGTTGAACGCACACATCACAGAGCAGTTTCTGAGAATGATTCTGTCGGGTTTTTATACGAAGATATTTCCTTTTCTGCCTTTGGCCTCAAAGCGCTTGAAGTCTCCACTTGCAAATTGCAGAAAAAGAGTGTTTCGAATCTGCTCTGTCTAAAGGAAGGTTCAACTCTGTCAGTTGAATACACACAACACAAGGAAGTTACTGAGATTTCTTCTGTCTAGCCTTACATGAAAAAAACCCGTTTCCAACGAAGGCCTCAAAGAGGTCAAAATATCCACGTGCAGACTTTCCAAACAGAGTGTTTCCAAACTGCTGAATGAAAAGAAAAGTTAAACTCTGTGAGTTGAACGCACACATCCCAGAGCAGTTTCTGAGAAAGATTCTGTCGAGTTTTTATAGGAAAATACTTCCTTTTCTGCTTTTGGCCTCAAAGCGCTTGAAATCTCCACTTGCAAATTCCACAAAAAGAGACTTTCAAATCTGCTCTGTCTAAAGGAAGGTTCAACTCTGTCAGTTGAATACACACAACACAAAGAAGTTACTAAGAATTCTTCCCTCTAGCATTATATGAAGAAATCCCGTTCCCAACGAAGGCATCTAAGAGGTCCAAATATCCACTTGCAGACTTTACAAACAGAGGGTTTCCAGAATGCTGTATGAAAAGAAAGGTTAAACTCTGTGAGTTAAACACACACATCACTACGCAGTGTCTGGGAACGAGTTTGTCTTGTTTTTATACGAAGATATTTCCTTTTCTACCATTGGCATCGAAGCGCTTGAAATCTCCACTTGCAAATTCCACAAAAAGAGTGTTTCAAATCTGCTCTGTCTAAAGGAAGGTTGAACTCTGTGAGTTGCATACACACAACACAAAGAATTTACTGAGAAATCTTCTGTCTAGCATAATATGAAGAAATCCCGTTTCCAACGAAGGCCTCAAAGAGGTCCGAATATCCACTGGCAGGCTTCACAAACAGAGTGTTTCCTAACTGCTCTGTGAAAAGAAAGGTTAAACTCTGTGAGTTGAACGCACACATCACAAAGGAGTTTCTGAGAATCATTCTGTCTAGTTTTTATACGAAGATATTTCCTTTTCTACCATTGACCTCAAAGCGGCTGAAATCTCCACTTGCAAATTCCAGAAAAACAGTGTTTCAAATCTGCTCTGTGTAAAGGATCGTTTAACTCTGTGAGTTGAATACACACAACACAAGGAAGTTACTGAGAATTCATCTGTCTAGCATAATATGAAGAAATCCCGTTTCCAACGAAGGCCTCAAAGAGGTCTGAATATCCACTTGCAGACTTTACAAACAGAGTGTTTCCTAACTGCTCTTTGAAAAGAAAGGTTAAACTCTGTGAGTTGAACGCACACATCACAAAACAGTTTCTGAGAATCATTCTGTCTAGTTTTTATACGAAGATATTTCCTTTTCTACCGTTGACCTCAAAGCGGCTGAATTCTCCACTTACAAATTCCACCAAAAGAGTGTCTCAAATCTGCTCTGTGTAAAGAATCATTCAACTCTGTGAGTTGAATGCACACAACACAAGGAAGTTACTGGGAATTCCTCTGTCTATCCTTACATGAAAAAACCCGTTTCCAACGAAGGCCTCTAAGAGGCCAAGATATCCACTTGCAGACTTTACAAACAGAGTGTTTCCAAACTGCTGAATGAAAAGAAAAGTTAAACTCTGTGAGTTGAACGCACACATCACAGAGCAGTTTCTGAGAATGATTCTGTCGGGTTTTTATACGAAGATATTTCCTTTTCTGCCTTTGGCCTCAAAGCGCTTGAAGTCTCCACTTGCAAATTGCAGAAAAAGAGTGTTTCGAATCTGCTCTGTCTAAAGGAAGGTTCAACACTGTCAGTTGAATACACACAACACAAGGAAGTTACTGAGATTTCTTCTGTCTAGCCTTACATGAAAAAAACCCGTTTCCAACGAAGGCCTCAAAGAGGTCAAAATATCCACGTGCAGACTTTCCAAACAGAGTGTTTCCAAACTGCTGAATGAAAAGAAAAGTTAAACTCTGTGAGTTGAACGCACACATCCCAGAGCAGTTTCTGAGAAAGATTCTGTCTAATTTTTATAGGAAAATATTTCCTTTTCTGCTTTTGGCCTCAAAGCGCTTGAAATCTCCACTTGCAAATTCCACAAAAAGAGACTTTCAAATCTGCTCTGTCTAAAGGAAGGTTCAACTCTGTCAGTTGAATACACACAACACAAAGAAGTTACTAAGAATTCTTCCCTCTAGCATTATATGAAGAAATCCCGTTTCCAACGAAGGCATCTAAGAGGTCCAAATATCCACTTGCAGACTTTACAAACACAGGGTTTCCAGAATGCTGTATGAAAAGAAAGGTTAAACTCTGTGAGTTAAACACACACATCACTACGCAGTGTCTGGGAACGAGTTTGTCTTGTTTTTATACGAAGATATTTCCTTTTCTACCATTGGCATCGAAGCGCTTGAAATCTCCACTTGCAAATTCCACAAAAAGAGTGTTTCAAATCTGCTCTGTCTAAAGGAAGGTTGAACTCTGTGAGTTGCATACACACAACACAAAGAAGTTACTGAGAAATCTTCTGTCTAGCATAATATGAAGAAATCCCGTTTCCAACGAAGGCCTCAAAGAGGTCCGAATATCCACTGGCAGGCTTCACAAACAGAGTGTTTCCTAACTGCTCTGTGAAAAGAAAGGTTAAACTCTGTGAGTTGAACGCACACATCACAAAGGAGTTTCTGAGAATCATTCTGTCTAGTTTTTATACGAAGATATTTCCTTTTCTACCATTGACCTCAAAGCGGCTGAAATCTCCACTTGCAAATTCCAGAAAAACAGTGTTTCAAATCTGCTCTGTGTAAAGGATCGTTCAACTCTGTGAGTTGAATACACACAACACAAGGAAGTTACTGAGAATTCATCTGTCTAGCATAATATGAAGAAATCCCGTTTCCAACGAAGGCCTCAAAGAGGTCTGAATATCCACTTGCAGACTTTACAAACAGAGTGTTTCCTAACTGCTCTTTGAAAAGAAAGGTTAAACTCTGTGAGTTGAACGCACACATCACAAAACAGTTTCTGAGAATCATTCTTTCTAGTTTTTATACGAAGATATTTCCTTTTCTACCGTTGACCTCAAAGCGGCTGAATTCTCCACTTACAAATTCCACCAAAAGAGTGTCTCAAATCTGCTCTGTGTAAAGAATCATTCAACTACTGTGAGTTGAATGCATACAACACAAGGAAGTTACTGGGAATTCCTCTGTCTATCCTTACATGAAAAAACCCGTTTCCAACTAAGGCCTCTAAGAGGCCAAGATATCCACTTGCAGACTTTACAAACAGAGTGTTTCCAAACTGCTGAATGAAAAGAAAAGTTAAACTCTGTGAGTTGAACGCACACATCACAGAGCAGTTTCTGAGAATGATTCTGTCGGGTTTTTATACGAAGATATTTCCTTTTCTGCCTTTGGCCTCAAAGCGCTTGAAGTCTCCACTTGCAAATTGCAGAAAAAGAGTGTTTCGAATCTGCTCTGTCTAAAGGAAGGTTCAACTCTGTCAGTTGAATACACACAACACAAGGAAGTTACTGAGATTTCTTCTGTCTAGCCTTACATGAAAAAAACCCGTTTCCAACGAAGGCCTCAAAGAGGTCAAAATATCCACGTGCAGACTTTCCAAACAGAGTGTTTCCAAACTGCTGAATGAAAAGAAAAGTTAAACTCTGTGAGTTGAACGCACACATCCCAGAGCAGTTTCTGAGAAAGATTCTGTCGAGTTTTTATAGGAAAATATTTCCTTTTCTGCTTTTGGCCTCAAAGCGCTTGAAATCTCCACTTGCAAATTCCACAAAAAGAGACTTTCAAATCTGCTCTGTCTAAAGGAAGGTTCAACTCTGTCAGTTGAATACACACAACACAAAGAAGTTACTAAGAATTCTTCCCTCTAGCATTATATGAAGAAATCCCGTTTCCAACGAAGGCATCTAAGAGGTCCAAATATCCACTTGCAGACTTTACAAACACAGGGTTTCCAGAATGCTGTATGAAAAGAAAGGTTAAACTCTGTGAGTTAAACACACACATCACTACGCAGTGTCTGGGAACGAGTTTGTCTTGTTTTTCTACGAAGATATTTCCTTTTCTACCATTTGCATCGAAGCGCTTGAAATCTCCACTTGCAAATTCCACAAAAAGAGTGTTTCAAATATGCTCTCTCTAAAGGAAGGTTGAACTCTGTAAGTTGCATACACACAACACAAAGAAGTTACTGAGAAATCTTCTGTCTAGCATAATATGAAGAAATCCCGTTTCCAACGAAGGCCTCAAAGAGGTCCGAATATCCACTGGCAGGCTTCACAAACAGAGTGTTTCCTAACTGCTCTGTGAAAAGAAAGGTTAAACTCTGTGAGTTGAACGCACACATCACAAAGGAGTTTCTGAGAATCATTCTGTCTAGTTTTTATACGAAGATATTTCCTTTTCTACCATTGACCTCAAAGCGGCTGAAATCTCCACTTGCAAATTCCAGAAAAACAGTGTTTCAAATCTGCTCTGTGTAAAGGATCGTTCAACTCTGTGAGTTGAATACACACAACACAAGGAAGTTACTGAGAATTCATCTGTCTAGCATAATATGAAGAAATCCCGTTTCCAACGAAGGCCTCAAAGAGGTCTGAATATCCACTTGCAGACTTTACAAACAGAGTGTTTCCTAACTGCTCTTTGAAAAGAAAGGTTAAACTCTGTGAGTTGAACGCACACATCACAAAACAGTTTCTGAGAATCATTCTGTCTAGTTTTTATACGAAGATATTTCCTTTTCTACCGTTGACCTCAAAGCGGCTGAATTCTCCACTTACAAATTCCACCAAAAGAGTGTCTCAAATCTGCTCTGTGTAAAGAATCATTCAACTCTGTGAGTTGAATGCACACAACACAAGGAAGTTACTGGGAATTCCTCTGTCTAACCTTACATGAAAAAACCCGTTTCCAACGAAGGCCTCTAAGAGGCCAAGATATCCACTTGCAGACTTTACAAACAGAGTGTTTCCAAACTGCTGAATGAAAAGAAAAGTTAAACTCTGTGAGTTGAACGCACACATCACAGAGCAGTTTCTGAGAATGATTCTGTCGGGTTTTTATACGAAGATATTTCCTTTTCTGCCTTTGGCCTCAAAGCGCTTGAAGTCTCCACTTGCAAATTGCAGAAAAAGAGTGTTTCGAATCTGCTCTGTCTAAAGGAAGGTTCAACTCTGTCAGTTGAATACACACAACACAAGGAAGTTACTGAGATTTCTTCTGTCTAGCCTTACATGAAAAAAACCCGTTTCCAACGAAGGCCTCAAAGAGGTCAAAATATCCACGTGCAGACTTTCCAAACAGAGTGTTTCCAAACTGCTGAATGAAAAGAAAAGTTAAACTCTGTGAGTTGAACGCACACATCCCAGAGCAGTTTCTGAGAAAGATTCTGTCTAGTTTTTATAGGAAAATATTTCCTTTTCTGCTTTTGGCCTCAAAGCGCTTGAAATCTCCACTTGCAAATTCCACAAAAAGAGACTTTCAAATCTGCTCTGTCTAAAGGAAGGTTCAACTCTGTCAGTTGAATACACACAACACAAAGAAGTTACTAAGAATTCTTCCCTCTAGCATTATATGAAGAAATCCCGTTTGCAACGAAGGCATCTAAGAGGTGCAAATATCCACTTGCAGACTTTACAAACAGAGGGTTTCCAGAATGCTGTATGAAAAGAAAGGTGAAACTCTGTGAGTTAAACACACACATCACTACGCAGTGTCTGGGAACGAGTTTGTCTTGTTTTTATACGAAGATATTTCCTTTTCTACCATTGGCATCGAAGCGCTTGAAATCTCCACTTGCAAATTCCACAAAAAGAGTGTTTCAAATCTGCTCTGTCTAAAGCAAGGTTGAACTCTGTGAGTTGCATAAACACAACACAAAGAAGTTACTGAGAAATCTTCTGTCTAGCATAATATGAAGAAATCCCGTTTCCAACGAAGGCCTCAAAGAGGTCCGAATATCCACTGGCAGGCTTCACAAACAGAGTGTTTCCTAACTGCTCTGTGAAAAGAAAGGTTAAACTCTGTGAGTTGAACGCACACATCACAAAGGAGTTTCTGAGAATCATTCTGTCTAGTTTTTATACGAAGATATTTCCTTTTCTACCATTGACCTCAAAGCGGCTGAAATCTCCACTTGCAAATTCCAGAAAAACAGTGTTTCAAATCTGCTCTGTGTAAAGGATCGTTCAACTCTGTGAGTTGAATACACACAACACAAGGAAGTTACTGAGAATTCATCTGTCTAGCATAATATGAAGAAATCCCGTTTCCAACGAAGGCCTCAAAGAGGTCTGAATATCCACTTGCAGACTTTACAAACAGAGTGTTTCCTAACTGCTCTTTGAAAAGAAAGGTTAAACTCTGTGAGTTGAACGCACACATCACAAAACAGTTTCTGAGAATCATTCTGTCTAGTTTTTATACGAAGATATTTGCTTTTCTATCGTTGACCTCAAAGCGGCTGAATTCTCCACTTACAAATTCCACCAAAAGAGTGTCTCAAATGTGCTCTGTGTAAAGAATCATTCAACTCTGTGAGTTGAATGCACACAACACAAGGAAGTTACTGGGAATTCCTCTGTCTATCCTTACATGAAAAAACCCGCTTCCAACGAAGGCCTCTAAGAGGCCAAGATATCCACTTGCAGACTTTACAAACAGAGTGTTTCCAAACTGCTGAATGAAAAGAAAAGTTAAACTCTGTGAGTTGAACGCACACATCACAGAGCAGTTTCTGAGAATGATTCTGTCGGGTTTTTATACGAAGATATTTCCTTTTCTGCCTTTGGCCTCAAAGCGCTTGAAGTCTCCACTTGCAAATTGCAGAAAAAGAGTGTTTCGAATCTGCTCTGTCTAAAGGAAGGTTCAACTCTGTCAGTTGAATACACACAACACAAGGAAGTTACTGAGATTTCTTCTGTCTAGCCTTACATGAAAAAAACCCGTTTCCAACGAAGGCCTCAAAGAGGTCAAAATATCCACGTGCAGACTTTCCAAACAGAGTGTTTCCAAACTGCTGAATGAAAAGAAAAGTTAAACTCTGTGAGTTGAACGCACACATCCCAGAGCAGTTTCTGAGAAAGATTCTGTCTAGTTTTTATAGGAAAATATTTCCTTTTCTGCTTTTGGCCTCAAAGCGCTTGAAATCTCCACTTGCAAATTCCACAAAAAGAGACTTTCAAATCTGCTCTGTCTAAAGGAAGGTTCAACTCTGTCAGTTGAATACACACAACACAAAGAAGTTACTAAGAATTCTTCCCTCTAGCATTATATGAAGAAATCCCGTTTCCAACGAAGGCATCTAAGAGGTCCAAATATCCACTTGCAGACTTTACAAACAGAGGGTTTCCAGAATGCTGTATGAAAAGAAAGGTTAAACTCTGTGAGTTAAACACACACATCACTACGCAGTGTCTGGGAACGAGTTTGTCTTGTTTTTCTACGAAGATATTTCCTTTTCTACCATTGGCATCGAAGCGCTTGAAATCTCCACTTGCAAATTCCACAAAAAGAGTGTTTCAAATCTGCTCTGTCTAAAGGAAGGTTGAACTCTGTGAGTTGCATACACACAACACAAAGAAGTTACTGAGAAATCTTCTGTCTAGCATAATATGAAGAAATCCCGTTTCCAACGAAGGCCTCAAAGAGGTCCGAATATCCACTGGCAGGCTTCACAAACAGAGTGTTTCCTAACTGCTCTGTGAAAAGAAAGGTTAAACTCTGTGAGTTGAACGCACACATCACAAAGGAGTTTCTGAGAATCATTCTGTCTAGTTTTTATACGAAGATATTTGCTTTTCTACCATTGACCTCAAAGCGGCTGAAATCTCCACTTGCAAATTCCAGAAAAACAGTGTTTCAAATCTGCTCTGTGTAAAGGATCGTTCAACTCTGTGAGTTGAATACACACAACACAAGGAAGTTACTGAGAATTCATCTGTCTAGCATAATATGAAGAAATCCCGTTTCCAACGAAGGCCTCAAAGAGGTCTGAATATCCGCTTGCAGACTTTACAAACAGAGTGTTTCCTAACTGCTCTTTGAAAAGAAAGGTTAAACTCTGTGAGTTGAACGCACACATCACAAAACAGTTTCTGAGAATCATTCTGTCTAGTTTTTATACGAAGATATTTCCTTTTCTACCATTGACCTCAAAGCGGCTGAATTCTCCACTTACAAATTCCACCAACAGTGTCTCAAATCTGCTCTGTGTAAAGAATCATTCAACTCTGTGAGTTGAATGCACACAACACAAGGAAGTTACTGGGAATTCCTCTGTCTAACCTTAAATGAAAAAACCCGTTTCCAACGAAGGCCTCTAAGAGGCCAAGATATCCACTTGCAGACTTTACAAACAGAGTGTTTCCAAACTGCTGAATGAAAAGAAAAGTTAAACTCTGTGAGTTGAACGCACACATCACAGAGCAGTTTCTGAGAATGATTCTGTCGGGTTTTTATACGAAGATATTTCCTTTTCTGCCTTTGGCCTCAAAGCGCTTGAAGTCTCCACTTGCAAATTGCAGAAAAAGAGTGTTTCGAATCTGCTCTGTCTAAAGGAAGGTTCAACTCTGTCAGTTGAATACACACAACACAAGGAAGTTACTGAGATTTCTTCTGTCTAGCCTTACATGAAAAAAACCCGTTTCCAACGAAGGCCTCAAAGAGGTCAAAATATCCACGTGCAGACTTTCCAAACAGAGTGTTTCCAAACTGCTGAATGGAAAGAATAGTTAAACTCTGTGAGTTGAACGCACACATCCCAGAGCAGTTTCTGAGAAAGATTCTGTCTAGTTTTTATAGGAAAATATTTCCTTTTCTGCTTTTGGCCTCAAAGCGCTTGAAATCTCCACTTGCAAATTCCACAAAAAGAGACTTTCAAATCTGCTCTGTCTAAAGGAAGGTTCAACTCTGTCAGTTGAATACACACAACACAAAAAAGTTACTAAGAATTCTTCCCTCTAGCATTATATGAAGAAATCCCGTTCCCAACGAAGGCATCTAAGAGGTCCAAATATCCACTTGCAGACTTTACAAACAGAGGGTTTCCAGAATGCTGTATGAAAAGAAAGGTTAAACTCTGTGAGTTAAACACACACATCACTACGCAGTGTCTGGGAACGAGTTTGTCTTGTTTTTATACGAAGATATTTCCTTTTCTACCATTGGCATCGAAGCGCTTGAAATCTCCACTTGCAAATTCCACAAAAAGAGTGTTTCAAATCTGCTCTGTCTAAAGGAAGGTTGAACTCTGTGAGTTGAATACACACAACACAAGGGAAGTTACTGAGAATTCATCTGTCTAGCATAATATGAAGAAATCCCGTTTCCAACGAAGGCCTCAAAGAGGTCCGAATATCCACTGGCAGGCTTCACAAACAGAGTGTTTCCTAACTGCTCTGTGAAAAGAAAGGTTAAACTCTGTGAGTTGAACGCACACATCACAAAGGAGTTTCTGAGAATCATTCTGTCTAGTTTTTATACGAAGATATTTCCTTTTCTACCATTGACCTCAAAGCGGCTGAAATCTCCACTTGCAAATTCCAGAAAAAGAGTGTTTCAAATCTGCTCTGTGTAAAGGATCGTTCAACTCTGTGAGTTGAATACACACAACACAAGGAAGTTACTGAGAATTCATCTGTCTAGCATAATATGAAGAAATCCCGTTTCCAACGAAGGCCTCAAAGAGGTCTGAATATCCACTTGCAGACTTTACAAACAGAGTGTTTCCTAACTGCTCTTTGAAAAGAAAGGTTAAACTCTGTGAGTTGAACGCACACATCACAAAACAGTTTCTGAGAATCATTCTGTCTAGTTTTTATACGAAGATATTACCTTTTCTACCGTTGACCTCAAAGCGGCTGAATTCTCCACTAACAAATTCCACCAAAAGAGTGTCTCAAATCTGCTCTGTGTAAAGAATCATTCAACTCTGTGAGTTGAATGCACACAACACAAGGAAGTTACTGGGAATTCCTCTGTCTAACCTTACATGAAAAAACCCGTTTCCAATGAAGGCCTCTAAGAGGCCATGATATCCACTTGCAGACTTTACAAACAGAGTGTTTCCAAACTGCTGAATGAAAAGAAAAGTTAAACTCTGTGAGTTGAACGCACACATCACAGAGCAGTTTCTGAGAATGATTCTGTCGGGTTTTTATACGAAGATATTTCCTTTTCTGCCTTTGGCCTCAAAGCGCTTGAAGTCTCCACTTGCAAATTGCAGAAAAAGAGTGTTTCGAATCTGCTCTGTCTAAAGGAAGGTTCAACTCTGTCAGTTGAATACACACAACACAAGGAAGTTACTGAGATTTCTTCTGTCTAGCCTTACATGAAAAAAACCCGTTTCCAACGAAGGCCTCAAAGAGGTCAAAATATCCACGTGCAGACTTTCCAAACAGAGTGTTTCCAAACTGCTGAATGAAAAGAAAGTTAAACTCTGTGAGTTGAACACACACATCCCAGAGCAGTTTCTGAGAAAGATTCTGTCTAGTTTTTATAGGAAAATATTTCCTTTTCTGCTTTTGGCCTCAAAGCGCTTGAAATCTCCACTTGCAAATTCCACAAAAAGAGACTTTCAAATCTGCTCTGTCTAAAGGAAGGTTCAACTCTGTCAGTTGAATACACACAACACAAAGAAGTTACTAAGAATTCTTCCCTCTAGCATTATATGAAGAAATCCCGTTCCCAACGAAGGCATCTAAGAGGTCCAAATATCCACTTGCAGACTTTACAAACAGAGGGTTTCCAGAATGCTGTATGAAAAGAAAGGTTAAACTCTGTGAGTTAAACACACACATCACTACGCAGTGTCTGGGAACGAGTTTGTCTTGTTTTTATACGAAGATATTTCCTTTTCTACCATTGGCATCGAAGCGCTTGAAATCTCCACTTGCAAATTCCACAAAAAGAGTGTTTCAAATCTGCTCTGTCTAAAGGAAGGTTGAACTCTGTGAGTTGCATACACACAACACAAAGAAGTTACTGAGAAATCTTCTGTCTAGCATAATATGAAGAAATCCCGTTTCCAACGAAGGCCTCAAAGAGGTCCGAATATCCACTGGCAGGCTTCACAAACAGAGTGTTTCCTAACTGCTCTGTGAAAAGAAAGGTTAAACTCTGTGAGTTGAACGCACACATCACAAAGGAGTTTCTGAGAATCATTCTGTCTAGTTTTTATACGAAGATATTTCCTTTTCTACCATTGACCTCAAAGCGGCTGAAATCTCCACTTGCAAATTCCAGAAAAACAGTGTTTCAAATCTGCTCTGTGTAAAGGATCGTTCAACTCTGTGAGTTGAATACACACAACACAAGGAAGTTACTGAGAATTCATCTGTCTAGCATAATATGAAGAAATCCCGTTTCCAACGAAGGCCTCAAAGAGGTCTGAATATCCACTTGCAGACTTTACAAACAGAGTGTTTCCTAACTGCTCTTTGAAAAGAAAGGTTAAACTCTGTGAGTTGAACGCACACATCACAAAACAGTTTCTGAGAATCATTCTGTCTAGTTTTTATACGAAGATATTTCCTTTTCTACCGTTGACCTCAAAGCGGCTGAATTCTCCACTTACAAATTCCACCAAAAGAGTGTCTCAAATCTGCTCTGTGTAAAGAATCATTCAACTCTGTGAGTTGAATGCACACAACACAAGGAAGTTACTGGGAATTCCTCTGTCTATCCTTACATGAAAAAACCCGTTTCCAATGAAGGCCTCTAAGAGGCCAAGATATCCACTTGCAGACTTTACAAACAGAGTGTTTCCAAACTGCTGAATGAAAAGAAAAGTTAAACTCTGTGAGTTGAACGCACACATCACAGAGCAGTTTCTGAGAAAGATTCTGTCGGGTTTTTATACGTAGATATTTCCTTTTCTGCCTTTGGACTCAAAGCGCTTGAAGTCTCCACTTGCAAATTGCAGAAAAAGAGTGTTTCGAATCTGCTCTGTCTAAAGGAAGGTTCAACTCTGTCAGTTGAATACACACAACACAAGGAAGTTACTGAGATTTCTTCTGTCTAGCCTTACATGAAAAAAACCCGTTTCCAACGAAGGCCTCAAAGAGGTCAAAATATCCACGTGCAGACTTTCCAAACAGAGTGTTTCCAAACTGCTGAATGAAAAGAAAGTTAAACTCTGTGAGTTGAACACACACATCCCAGAGCAGTTTCTGAGAAAGATTCTGTCTAGTTTTTATAGGAAAATATTTCCTTTTCTGCTTTTGGCCTCAAAGCGCTTGAAATCTCCACTTGCAAATTCCACAAAAAGAGACTTTCAAATCTGCTCTGTCTAAAGGAAGGTTCAACTCTGTCAGTTGAATACACACAACACAAAGAAGTTACTAAGAATTCTTCCCTCTAGCATTATATGAAGAAATCCCGTTCCCAACGAAGGCATCTAAGAGGTCCAAATATCCACTTGCAGACTTTACAAACAGAGGGTTTCCAGAATGCTGTATGAAAAGAAAGGTTAAACTCTGTGAGTTAAACACACACATCACTACGCAGTGTCTGGGAACGAGTTTGTCTTGTTTTTATACGAAGATATTTCCTTTTCTACCATTGGCATCGATGCGCTTGAAATTTCCACTTGCAAATTCCACAAAAAGAGTGTTTCAAATCTGCTCTGTCTAAAGGAAGGTTGAACTCTGTGAGCTGTATACAACACAACACAAAGAAGTTACTGAGAAATCTTCTGTCTAGCATAATATGAAGAAATCCCGTTTCCAACGAAGGCCTCAAAGAGGTCCGAATATCCACTGGCAGGCTTCACAAACAGAGTGTTTCCTAACTGCTCTGTGAAAAGAAAGGTTAAACTCTGTGAGTTGAACGCACACATCACAAAGGAGTTTCTGAGAATCATTCTGTCTAGTTTTTATACGAAGATATTTCCTTTTCTACCATTGACCTCAAAGCAGCTGAAATCTCCACTTGCAAATTCCAGAAAAACAGTGTTTCAAATCTGCTCTGTGTAAAGGATCGTTCAACTCTGTGAGTTGAATACACACAACACAAGGAACTTACTGAGAATTCATCTGTCTAGCATAATATGAAGAAATCCCGTTTCCAACGAAGGCCTCAAAGTAGGTCTGAATATCCACTTGCAGACTTTACAAACAGAGTGTTTCCTAACTGCTCTTTGAAAAGAAAGGTTAAACTCTGTGAGTTGAACGCACACATCACAAAACAGTTTCTGAGAATCATTCTGTCTAGTTTTTATACGAAGATATTTCCTTTTCTACCGTTGACCTCAAAGCGGCTGAATTCTCCACTTACAAATTCCACCCAAAGAGTGTCTCAAATCTGCTCTGTGTAAAGAATCATTCAACTCTGTGAGTTGAATGCACACAACACAAGGAAGTTACTGGGAATTCCTCTGTCTATCCTTACATGAAAAAACCCGTTTCCAACGAAGGCCTCTAAGAGGCCAAGATATCCACTTGCAGACTTTACAAACAGAGTGTTTCCAAACTGCTGAATGAAAAGAAAAGTTAAACTCTGTGAGTTGAACGCACACATCACAGAGCAGTTTCTGAGAATGATTCTGTCGGGTTTTTATACGAAGATATTTCCTTTTCTGCCTTTGGCCTCAAAGCGCTTGAAGTCTCCACTTGCAAATTGCAGAAAAAGAGTGTTTCGAATCTGCTCTGTCTAAAGGAAGGTTCAACTCTGTCAGTTGAATACACACAACACAAGGAAGTTACTGAGATTTCTTCTGTCTAGCCTTACATGAAAAAAACCCGTTTCCAACGAAGGCCTCAAAGAGGTCAAAATATCCACGTGCAGACTTTCCAAACAGAGTGTTTCCAAACTGCTGAATGAAAAGAAAAGTTAAACTCTGTGAGTTGAACGCACACATCCCAGAGCAGTTTCTGAGAAAGATTCTGTCGAGTTTTTATAGGAAAATATTTCCTTTTCTGCTTTTGGCCTCAAAGCGCTTGAAATCTCCACTTGCAAATTCCACAAAAAGAGACTTTCAAATCTGCTCTGTCTAAAGGAAGGTTCAACTCTGTCAGTTGAATACACACAACACAAAGAAGTTACTAAGAATTCTTCCCTCTAGCATTATATGAAGAAATCCCGTTTCCAACGAAGGCATCTAAGAGGTCCAAATATCCACTTGCAGACTTTACAAACAGAGGGTTTCCAGAATGCTGTATGAAAAGAAAGGTTAAACTCTGTGAGTTAAACACACACATCACTACGCAGTGTCTGGGAACGAGTTTGTCTTGTTTTTATACGAAGATATTTCCTTTTCTACCATTGGCATCGATGTGCTTGAAATTTCCACTTGCAAATTCCACAAAAAGAGTGTTTCAAATCTGCTCTGTCTAAAGGAAGGTTGAACTCTGTGAGTTGCATACACACAACACAAAGAAGTTACTGAGAAATCTTCTGTCTAGCAAAATATGAAGAAATCCCGTTTCCAACGAAGGCCTCAAAGAGGTCCGAATATCCACTGGCAGGCTTCACAAACAGAGTGTTTCCTAACTGCTCTGTGAAAAGAAAGGTTAAACTCTGTGAGTTGAACGCACACATCACAAAGGAGTTTCTGAGAATCATTCTGTCCAGTTTTTATACGAAGATATTTCCTTTTCTACCATTGACCTCAAAGCGGCTGAAATCTCCACTTGCAAATTCCAGAAAAACAGTGTTTCAAATCTGCTCTGTGTAAAGGATCGTTCAACTCTGTGAGTTGAATACACACAACACAAGGAAGTTACTGAGAATTCATCTGTCTAGCATAATATGAAGAAATCCCGTTTCCAACGAAGGCTTCAAAGAGGTCTGAATATCCACTTGCAGACTTTACAAACAGAGTGTTTCCTAACTGCTCTTTGAAAAGAAAGGTTAAACTCTGTGAGTTGAACGCACACATCACAAAACAGTTTCTGAGAATCATTCTTTCTAGTTTTTATACGAAGATATTTCCTTTTCTACCGTTGACCTCAAAGCGGCTGAATTCTCCACTTACAAATTCCACCAAAAGAGTGTCTCAAATCTGCTCTGTGTAAAGAATCATTCAACTCTGTGAGTTGAATGCACACAACACAAGGAAGTTACTGGGAATTCCTCTGTCTAACCTTACATGAAAAAACCCGTTTCCAACGAAGGCCTCTAAGAGGCCAAGATATCCACTTGCAGACTTTACAAACAGAGTGTTTCCAAACTGCTGAATGAAAAGAAAAGTTAAACTCTGTGAGTTGAACGCACACATCACAGAGCAGTTTCTGAGAATGATTCTGTCGGGTTTTTATACGAAGATATTTCCTTTTCTGCCTTTGGCCTCAAAGCGCTTGAAGTCTCCACTTGCAAATTGCAGAAAAAGAGTGTTTCGAATCTGCTCTGTCTAAAGGAAGGTTCAACTCTGTCAGTTGAATACACACAACACAAGGAAGTTACTGAGATTTCTTCTGTCTAGCCTTACATGAAAAAAACCCGTTTCCAACGAAGGCCTCAAAGAGGTCAAAATATCCACGTGCAGACTTTCCAAACAGTGTTTCCAAACTGCTGAATGAAAAGAAAAGTTAAACTCTGTGAGTTGAACGCACACATCACAGAGCAGTTTCTGAGAATGATTCTGTCTAGTTTTTATAGGAAAATATTTCCTTTTCTGCTTTTGGCCTCAAAGCGCTTGAAATCTCCACTTGCAAATTCCACAAAAAGAGACTTTCAAATCTGCTCTGTCTAAAGGAAGGTTCAACTCTGTCAGTTGAATACACACAACACAAAGAAGTTACTAAGAATTCTTCCCTCTAGCATTATATGAAGAAATCCCGTTTGCAACGAAGGCATCTAAGAGGTCCAAATATCCACTTGCAGACTTTACAAACAGAGGGTTTCCAGAATGCTGTATGAAAAGAAAGGTGAAACTCTGTGAGTTAAACACACACATCACTACGCAGTGTTCTGGGAACGAGTTTGTCTTGTTTTTATACGAAGATATTTCCTTTTCTACCATTGGCATCGAAGCGCTTGAAATCTCTACTTGCAAATTCCACAAAAAGAGTGTTTCAAATCTGCTCTGTCTAAAGGAAGGTTGAACTCTGTGAGTTGCATACACACAACACAAAGAAGTTACTGAGAAGTCTTCTGTCTATCATAATATGAAGAAATCCCGTTTCCAACGAAGGCCTCAAAGAGGTCCGAATATCCACTGGCAGGCTTCACAAACAGAGTGTTTCCTAACTGCTCTGTGAAAAGAAAGGTTAAACTCTGTGAGTTGAACGCACACATCACAAAGGAGTTTCTGAGAATCATTCTGTCTAGTTTTTATACGAAGATATTTCCTTTTCTACCATTGACCTCAAAGCGGCTGAAATCTCCACTTGCAAATTCCAGAAAAACAGTGTTTCAAATCTGCTCTGTGTAAAGGATCGTTCAACTCTGTGAGTTGAATACACACAACACAAGGAAGTTACTGAGAATTCATCTGTCTAGCATAATATGAAGAAATCCCGTTTCCAACGAAGGCCTCAAAGAGGTCTGAATATCCACTTGCAGACTTTACAAACAGAGTGTTTCCTAACTGCTCTCTGAAAAGAAAGGTTAAACTCTGTGAGTTGAACGCACACATCACAAAACAGTTTCTGAGAATCATTCTGTCTAGTTTTTATACGAAGATACTTCCTTTTCTACCGTTGACCTCAAAGCGGCTGAATTCTCCACTTACAAATTCCACCAAAAGAGTGTCTCAAATCTGCTCTGTGTAAAGAATCATTCAACTCTGTGAGTTGAATGCACACAACACAAGGAAGTTACTGGGAATTCCTCTGTCTAACCTTACATGAAAAAACCCGTTTCCAACGAAGGCCTCTAAGAGGCCAAGATATCCACTTGCAGACTTTACAAACAGAGTGTTTCCAAACTGCTGAATGAAAAGAAAAGTTAAACTCTGTGAGTTGAACGCACACATCACAGAGCAGTTTCTGAGAATGATTCTGTCGGGTTTTTATACGAAGATATTTCCTTTTCTGCCTTTGGCCTCAAAGCGCTTGAAGTCTCCACTTGCAAATTGCAGAAAAAGAGTGTTTCGAATCTGCTCTGTCTAAAGGAAGGTTCAACTCTGTCAGTTGAATACACACAACACAAGGAAGTTACTGAGATTTCTTCTGTCTAGCCTTACATGAAAAAAACCCGTTTCCAACGAAGGCCTCAAAGAGGTCAAAATATCCACGTGCAGACTTTCCAAACAGAGTGTTTCCAAACTGCTGAATGAAAAGAAAAGTTAAACTCTGTGAGTTGAACGCACACATCCCAGAGCAGTTTCTGAGAAAGATTCTGTCTAGTTTTTATAGGAAAATATTTCCTTTTCTGCTTTTGGCCTCAAAGCGCTTGAAATCTCCACTTGCAAATTCCACAAAAAGAGACTTTCAAATCTGCTCTGTCTAAAGGAAGGTTCAACTCTGTCAGTTGAATACACACAACACAAAGAAGTTACTAAGAATTCTTCCCTCTAGCATTATATGAGGAAATCCCGTTTCCAACGAAGGCATCTAAGAGGTCCAAATATCCACTTGCAGACTTTACAAACAGAGGGTTTCCAGAATGCTGTATGAAAAGAAAGGTTAAACTCTGTGAGTTAAACACACACATCACTACGCAGTGTCTGGGAACGAGTTTGTCTTGTTTTTATACGAAGATATTTCCTTTTCTACCATTGGCATCGAAGCGCTTGAAATCTCCACTTGCAAATTCCACAAAAAGAGTGTTTCAAATCTGCTCTGTCTAAAGGAAGGTTGAACTCTGTGAGTTGCATACACACAACACAAAGAAGTTACTGAGAAATCTTCTGTCTAGCATAATATGAAGAAATCCCGTTTCCAACGAAGGCCTCAAAGAGGTCCGAATATCCACTGGCAGGATTCACAAACAGAGTGTTTCCTAACTGCTCTGTGAAAAGAAAGGTTAAACTCTGTGAGTTGAACGCACACATCACAAAGGAGTTTCTGAGAATCATTCTGTCCAGTTTTTATACGAAGATATTTCCTTTTCTACCATTGACCTCAAAGCGGCTGAAATCTCCACTTGCAAATTCCAGAAAAACAGTGTTTCAAATCTGCTCTGTGTAAAGGATCGTTCAACTCTGTGAGTTGAATACACACAACACAAGGAAGTTACTGAGAATTCATCTGTCTAGCATAATATGAAGAAATCCCGTTTCCAACGAAGGCCTCAAAGAGGTCTGAATATCCACTTGCAGACTTTACAAACAGAGTGTTTCCTAACTGCTCTTTGAAAAGAAAGGTTAAACTCTGTGAGTTGAACGCACACATCACAAAACAGTTTCTGAGAATCATTCTGTCTAGTTTTTATACGAAGATATTTCCTTTTCTACCGTTGACCTCAAAGCGGCTGAATTCTCCACTAACAAATTCCACCAAAAGAGTGTCTCAAATCTGCTCTGTGTAAAGAATCATTCAACTCTGTGAGTTGAATGCACACAACACAAGGAAGTTACTGGGAATTCCTCTGTCTAACCTTACATGAAAAAACCCGTTTCCAACGAAGGCCTCTAAGAGGCCAAGATATCCACTTGCAGACTTTACAAACAGAGTGTTTCCAAACTGCTGAATGAAAAGAAAAGTTAAACTCTGTGAGTTGAACGCACACATCACAGAGCAGTTTCTGAGAATGATTCTGTCGGGTTTTTATACGAAGATATTTCCTTTTCTGCCTTTGGCCTCAAAGCGCTTGAAGTCTCCACTTGCAAATTGCAGAAAAAGAGTGTTTCGAATCTGCTCTGTCTAAAGGAAGGTTCAACTCTGTCAGTTGAATACACACAACACAAGGAAGTTACTGAGATTTCTTCTGTCTAGCCTTACATGAAAAAAACCCGTTTCCAACGAAGGCCTCAAAGAGGTCAAAATATCCACGTGCAGACTTTCCAAACAGAGTGTTTCCAAACTGCTGAATGAAAAGAAAAGTTAAACTCTGTGAGTTGAACGCACACATCCCAGAGCAGTTTCTGAGAAAGATTCTGTCGAGTTTTTATAGGAAAATATTTCCTTTTCTGCTTTTGGCCTCAAAGCGCTTGAAATCTCCACTTGCAAATTCCACAAAAAGAGACTTTCAAATCTGCTCTGTCTAAAGGAAGGTTCAACTCTGTCAGTTGAATACACACAACACAAAGAAGTTACTAAGAATTCTTCCCTCTAGCATTATATGAAGAAATCCCGTTTCCAACGAAGGCATCTAAGAGGTCCAAATATCCACTTGCAGACTTTACAAACACAGGGTTTCCAGAATGCTGTATGAAAAGAAAGGTTAAACTCTGTGAGTTAAACACACACATCACTAGGCAGTGTCTGGGAACGAGTTTGTCTTGTTTTTATACGAAGATATTTCCTTTTCTACCATTGGCATCGAAGCGCTTGAAATCTCCACTTGCAAATTCCACAAAAAGAGTGTTTCAAATCTGCTCTGTCTAAAGGAAGGTTGAACTCTGTGAGTTGCATACACACAACACAAAGAAGTTACTGAGAAATCTTCTGTCTAGCATAATATGAAGAAATCCCGTTTCCAACGAAGGCCTCAAAGAGGTCCGAATATCCACTGGCAGGCTTCACAAACAGAGTGTTTCCTAACTGCTCTGTGAAAAGAAAGGTTAAACTCTGTGAGTTGAACGCACACATCACAAAGGAGTTTCTGAGAATCATTCTGTCTAGTTTTTATACGAAGATATTTCCTTTTCTACCATTGACCTCAAATCGGCTGAAATCTCCACTTGCAAATTCCAGAAAAACAGTGTTTCAAATCTGCTCTGTGTAAAGGATCGTTCAACTCTGTGAGTTGAATACACACAACACAAGGAAGTTACTGAGAATTCATCTGTCTAGCATAATATGAAGAAATCCCGTTTCCAACGAAGGCCTCAAAGAGGTCTGAATATCCACTTGCAGACTTTACAAACAGAGTGTTTCCTAACTGCTCTTTGAAAAGAAAGGTTAAACTCTGTGAGTTGAACGCACACATCACAAAACAGTTTCTGAGAATCATTCTGTCTAGTTTTTATACGAAGATATTTCCTTTTCTACCGTTGACCTCAAAGCGGCTGAATTCTCCACTTACAAATTCCACCAAAAGAGTGTCTCAAATCTGCTCTGTGTAAAGAATCATTCAACTCTGTGAGTTGAATGCACACAACAGAAGGAAGTTACTGGGAATTCCTCTGTCTATCCTTACATGAAAAAACCCGTTTCCAACGAAGGCCTCTAAGAGGCCAAGATATCCACTTGCAGACTTTACAAACAGAGTGTTTCCAAACTGCTGAATGAAAAGAAAAGTTAAACTCTGTGAGTTGAACGCACACATCACAGAGCAGTTTCTGAGAATGATTCTGTCGGGTTTTTATACGAAGATATTTCCTTTTCTGCCTTTGGCCTCAAATCGCTTGAAGTCTCCACTTGCAAATTGCAGAAAAAGAGTGTTTCGAATCTGCTCTGTCTAAAGGAAGGTTCAACTCTGTCAGTTGAATACACACAACACAAGGAAGTTACTGAGATTTCTTCTGTCTAGCCTTACATGAAAAAAACCCGTTTCCAACGAAGGCCTCAAAGAGGTCAAAATATCCACGTGCAGACTTTCCAAACAGAGTGTTTCCAAACTGCTGAATGAAAAGAAAAGTTAAACTCTGTGAGTTGAACGCACACATCCCACAGCAGTTTCTGAGAAAGATTCTGTCGAGTTTTTATAGGAAAATATTTCCTTTTCTGCTTTTGGCCTCAAAGCGCTTGAAATCTCCACTTGCAAATTCCACAAAAAGAGACTTTCAAATCTGCTCTGTCTAAAGGAAGGTTCAACTCTGTCAGTTGAATACACACAACACAAAGAAGTTACTAAGAATTCTTCCCTCTAGCATTATATGAAGAAATCCCGTTTCCAACGAAGGCATCTAAGAGGTCCAAATATCCACTTGCAGACTTTACAAACAGAGGGTTTCCAGAATGCTGTATGAAAAGAAAGGTGAAACTGCTGTGAGTTAAACACACACATCACTACGCAGTGTCTGGGAACGAGTTTGTCTTGTTTTTAAACGAAGATATTTCCTTTTCTACCATTGGCATCGAAGCGCTTGAAATCTCCACTTGCAAATTCCACAAAAAGAGTGTTTCAAATCTGCTCTGTCTAAAGGAAGGTTGAACTCTGTGAGTTGCATACACACAACACAAAGAAGTTACTGAGAAATCTTCTGAATAGCATAATATGAAGAAATCCCGTTTCCAACGAAGGCCTCAAAGAGGTCCGAATATCCACTGGCAGGCTTCACAAACAGAGTGTTTCCTAACTGCTCTGTGAAAACAAAGGTTAAACTCTGTGAGTTGAACGCACACATCACAAAGAAGTTTCTGAGAATCACTCTGTCCAGTTTTTATACGAAGATATTTCCTTTTCTACCATTGACCTCAAAGCGGCTGAAATCTCCACTTGCAAATTCCAGAAAAACAGTGTTTCAAATCTGCTCTGTGTAAAGGATCGTTCAACTACTGTGAGTTGAATACACACAACACAAGGAAGTTTCTGAGAATTCATCTGTCTAGCAGAATATGAAGAAATCCCGTTTCCAACGAAGGCCTCAAAGAGGTCTGAATATCCACTTGCAGACTTTATAAACAGAGTGTTTCCTAACTGCACTATGAAAAGAAAGGTTAAACTCTGTGAGTTGAACGCACACATCACAAAGGAGTTTCTGAGAATCATTCTGTCTAGTTTTTATACGAAGCATATTTCCTTTTCTACCATTGACCTCAAAGCGGCTGAAATCTCCACTTGCAAATTCCAGAAAAACAGTGTTTCAAATCTGCTCTGTGTAAAGGATCGTTCAACTCTGTGAGTTGAATACACACAACACAAGGAAAGTTACTGAGAATTCATCTGTCTAGCATAATATGAAGAAATCCCGTTTCCAACGAAGGCCTCAAAGAGGTCTGAATATCCACTTGCAGACTTTACAAACAGAGTGTTTCCTAACTGCTCTTTGAAAAGAAAGGTTAAACTCTGTGAGTTGAACGCACACATCACAAAACAGTTTCTGAGAATCATTCTGTCTAGTTTTTATACGAAGATATTTCCTTTTCTACCGTTGACCTCAAAGCGGCTGAATTCTCCACTTACAAATTCCACCAAAAGAGTGTCTCAAATCTGCTCTGTGTAAAGAATCATTCAACTCTGTGAGTTGAATACACACAACACAAGGAAGTTACTGGGAATTCCTCTGTCTAACCTTACATGAAAAAACCCGTTTCCAACGAAGGCCTCTAAGAGGCCAAGATATCCACTTGCAGACTTTACAAACAGAGTGTTTCCAAACTGCTGAATGAAAAGAAAAGTTAAACTCTGTGAGTTGAACGCACACATCACAGAGCAGTTTCTGAGAATGATTCTGTCGGGTTTTTATACGAAGATATTTCCTTTTCTGCCTTTGGCCTCAAAGCGCTTGAAGTCTCCACTTGCAAATTGCAGAAAAAGAGTGTTTCGAATCTGCTCTGTCTAAAGGAAGGTTCAACTCTGTCAGTTGAATACACACAACACAAGGAAGTTACTGAGATTTCTTCTGTCTAGCCTTACATGAAAAAAACCCGTTTCCAACGAAGGCCTCAAAGAGGTCAAAATATCCACGTGCAGACTTTCCAAACAGTGTTTCCAAACTGCTGAATGAAAAGAAAAGTTAAACTCTGTGAGTTGAACGCACACATCACAGAGCAGTTTCTGAGAATGATTCTGTCGAGTTTTTATAGGAAAATATTTCCTTTTCTGCTTTTGGCCTCAAAGCGCTTGAAATCTCCACTTGCAAATTGCACAAAAAGAGACTTTCAAATCTGCTCTGTCTAAAGGAAGGTTCAACTCTGTCAGTTGAATACACACAACACAAAGAAGTTACTAAGAATTCTTCCCTCTAGCATTATATGAAGAAATCCCGTTTCCAACGAAGGCATCTAAGAGGTCCAAATATCCACTTGCAGACTTTACAAACACAGGGTTTCCAGAATGCTGTATGAAAAGAAAGGTTAAACTCTGTGAGTTAAACACACACATCACTACGCAGTGTCTGGGAACGAGTTTGTCTTGTTTTTATACGAAGATATTTCCTTTTCTACCATTGGCATCGATGCGCTTGAAATTTCCACTTGCAAATTCCACAAAAAGAGTGTTTCAAATCTGCTCTGTCTAAAGGAAGGTTGAACTCTGTGAGTTGCATACACACAACACAAAGAAGTTACTGAGAAATCTTCTGTCTAGCAAAATATGAAGAAATCCCGTTTCCAACGAAGGCCTCAAAGAGGTCCGAATATCCACTGGCAGGCTTCACAAACAGAGTGTTTCCTAACTGCTCTGTGAAAAGAAAGGTTAAACTCTGTGAGTTGAACGCACACATCACAAAGGAGTTTCTGAGAATCATTCTGTCCAGTTTTTATACGAAGATATTTCCTTTTCTACCATTGACCTCAAAGCGGCTGAAATCTCCACTTGCAAATTCCAGAAAAACAGTGTTTCAAATCTGCTCTGTGTAAAGGATCGTTCAACTCTGTGAGTTGAATACACACAACACAAGGAAGTTACTGAGAATTCATCTGTCTAGCATAATATGATGAAATCCCGTTTCCAACGAAGGCTTCAAAGAGGTCTGAATATCCACTTGCAGACTTTACAAACAGAGTGTTTCCTAACTGCTCTTTGAAAAGAAAGGTTAAACTCTGTGAGTTGAACGCACACATCACAAAACAGTTTCTGAGAATCATTCTTTCTAGTTTTTATACGAAGATATTTCCTTTTCTACCGTTGACCTCAAAGCGGCTGAATTCTCCACTTACAAATTCCACCAAAAGAGTGTCTCAAATCTGCTCTGTGTAAAGAATCATTCAACTCTGTGAGTTGAATGCATACAACACAAGGAAGTTACTGGGAATTCCTCTGTCTAACCTTACATGAAGAAACCCGTTTCCAACGAAGGCCTCTAAGAGGCCAAGATATCCACTTGCAGACTTTACAAACAGAGTGTTTCCAAACTGCTGAATGAAAAGAAAAGTTAAACTCTGTGAGTTGAACGCACACATCACAGAGCAGTTTCTGAGAATGATTCTGTCGGGTTTTTATACGAAGATATTTCCTTTTCTGCCTTTGGCCTCAAAGCGCTTGAAGTCTCCACTTGCAAATTGCAGAAAAAGAGTGTTTCGAATCTGCTCTGTCTAAAGGAAGGTTCAACTCTGTCAGTTGAATACACACAACACAAGGAAGTTACTGAGATTTCTTCTGTCTAGCCTTACATGAAAAAAACCCGTTTCCAACGAAGGCCTCAAAGAGGTCAAAATATCCACGTGCAGACTTTCCAAACAGAGTGTTTCCAAACTGCTGAATGGAAAGAATAGTTAAACTCTGTGAGTTGAACGCACACATCCCAGAGCAGTTTCTGAGAAAGATTCTGTCTAGTTTTTATAGGAAAATATTTCCTTTTCTGCTTTTGGCCTCAAAGCGCTTGAAATCTCCACTTGCAAATTCCACAAAAAGAGACTTTCAAATCTGCTCTGTCTAAAGGAAGGTTCAACTCTGTCAGTTGAATACACACAACACAAAAAAGTTACTAAGAATTCTTCCCTCTAGCATTATATGAAGAAATCCCGTTCCCAACGAAGGCATCTAAGAGGTCCAAATATCCACTTGCAGACTTTACAAACAGAGGGTTTCCAGAATGCTGTATGAAAAGAAAGGTTAAACTCTGTGAGTTAAACACACACATCACTACGCAGTGTCTGGGAACGAGTTTGTCTTGTTTTTATACGAAGATATTTCCTTTTCTACCATTGGCATCGAAGCGCTTGAAATCTCCACTTGCAAATTCCACAAAAAGAGTGTTTCAAATATGCTCTCTCTAAAGGAAGGTTGAACTCTGTGAGTTGCATACACACAACCCAAAGAAGTTACTGAGAAATCTTCTGTCTAGCATAATATGAAGAAATCCCGTTTCCAACGAAGGCCTCAAAGAGGTCCGAATATCCACTGGCAGGCTTCACAAACAGAGTGTTTCCTAACTGCTCTGTGAAAAGAAAGGTTAAACTCTGTGAGTTGAACGCACACATCACAAAGGAGTTTCTGAGAATCATTCTGTCTAGTTTTTATACGAAGATATTTCCTTTTCTACCATTGACCTCAAAGCGGCTGAAATCTCCACTTGCAAATTCCAGAAAAACAGTGTTTCAAATCTGCTCTGTGTAAAGGATCGTTCAACTCTGTGAGTTGAATACACACAACACAAGGAAGTTACTGAGAATTCATCTGTCTAGCATAATATGAAGAAATCCCGTTTCCAACGAAGGCCTCAAAGAGGTCTGAATATCCACTTGCAGACTTTACAAACAGAGTGTTTCCTAACTGCTCTTTGAAAAGAAAGGTTAAACTCTGTGAGTTGAAAGCACACATCACAAAACAGTTTCTGAGAATCATTCTGTCTAGTTTTTATAGGAAGATCTTTCCTTTTCTACAGTTGACATCAAAGCGGCTGAATTCTCCACTTACAAATTCCACCAAAAGAGTGTCTCAAATCTGCTCTGTGTAAAGAATCATTCAACTCTGTGAGTTGAATGCACACAACACAAGGAAGTTAGTGGGAATTCCTCTGTCTAACCTTACATGAAAAAACCCGTTTCCAACGAAGGCCTCTAAGAGGCCAAGATATCCACTTGCAGACTTTACAAACAGAGTGTTTCCAAACTGCTGAATGAAAAGAAAAGTTAAACTCTGTGAGTTGAACGCACACATCACAGAGCAGTTTCTGAGAATGATTCTGTCGGGTTTTTATACGAAGATATTTCCTTTTCTGCCTTTGGCCTCAAAGCGCTTGAAGTCTCCACTTGCAAATTGCAGAAAAAGAGTGTTTCGAATCTGCTCTGTCTAAAGGAAGGTTCAACTCTGTCAGTTGAATACACACAACACAAGGAAGTTACTGAGATTTCTTCTGTCTAGCCTTACATGAAAAAAACCCGTTTCCAACGAAGGCCTCAAAGAGGTCAAAATATCCACGTGCAGACTTTCCAAACAGAGTGTTTCCAAACTGCTGAATGAAAAGAAAAGTTAAACTGTGTGAGTTGAACACACACATCCCAGAGCAGTTTGCTGAGAAAGATTTCTGTCTAGTTTTATAGGAAAATATATCCTTTTCTGCTTTTGGCCTCAAAGCGCTTGAAATCTCCACTTGCAAATTCCACAAAAAGAGACTTTCAAATCTGCTCTGTCTAAAGGAAGGTTCAACTCTGTCAGTTGAATACACACAACACAAAGAAGTTACTAAGAATTCTTCCCTCTAGCATTATATGAAGAAATCCCGTTTCCAACGAAGGCATCTAAGAGGTCCAAATATCCACTTGCAGACTTTACAAACAGAGGGTTTCCAGAATGCTGTATGAAAAGAAAGGTGAAACTCTGTGAGTTAAACACACACATCACTACGCAGTGTCTGGGAACGAGTTTGTCTTGTTTTTATACGAAGATATTTCCTTTTCTACCATTGGCATCGAAGCGCTTGAAATCTCCACTTGCAAATTCCACAAAAAGAGTGTTTCAAATCTGCTCTGTCTAAAGGAAGGTTGAACTCTGTGAGTTGCATACACACAACACAAAGAAGTTACTGAGAAATCTTCTGTCTAGCATAATATGAAGAAATCCCGTTTCCAACGAAGGCCTCAAAGAGGTCCGAATATCCACTGGCAGGCTTCACAAACAGAGTGTTTCCTAACTGCTCTGTGAAAAGAAAGGTTAAACTCTGTGAGTTGAACGCACACATCACAAAGGAGTTTCTGAGAATCATTCTGTCTAGTTTTTATACGAAGATATTTCCTTTTCTACCATTGACCTCAAAGCGGCTGAAATCTCCACTTGCAAATTCCAGAAAAACAGTGTTTCAAATCTGCTCTGTGTAAAGGATCGTTCAACTCTGTGAGTTGAATACACACAACACAAGGAAGTTACTGAGAATTCATCTGTCTAGCATAATATGAAGAAATCCCGTTTCCAACGAAGGCCTCAAAGAGGTCTGAATATCCACTTGCAGACTTTACAGAGTGTTTCCTAACTGCTCTTTGAAAAGAAAGGTTAAACTCTGTGAGTTGAACGCACACATCACAAAACAGTTTCTGAGAATCATTCTGTCTAGTTTTTATACGAAGATATTTCCTTTTCTACCGTTGACCTCAAAGCGGCTGAATTCTCCACTTACAAATTCCACCCAAAGAGTGTCTCAAATCTGCTCTGTGTAAAGAATCATTCAACTCTGTGAGTTGAATGCACACAACACAAGGAAGTTACTGGGAATTCCTCTGTCTATCCTTACATGAAAAAACGCGTTTCCAACGAAGGCCTCTAAGAGGCCAAGATATCCACTTGCAGACTTTACAAACAGAGTGTTTCCAAACTGCTGAATGAAAAGAAAAGTTAAACTCTGTGAGTTGAACGCACACATCACAGAGCAGTTTCTGAGAATGATTCTGTCGGGTTTTTATACGAAGATATTTCCTTTTCTGCCTTTGGCCTCAAAGCGCTTGAAGTCTCCACTTGCAAATTGCAGAAAAAGAGTGTTTCGAATCTGCTCTGTCTAAAGGAAGGTTCAACTCTGTCAGTTGAATACACACAACACAAGGAAGTTACTGAGATTTCTTCTGTCTAGCCTTACATGAAAAAAACCCGTTTCCAACGAAGGCCTCAAAGAGGTCAAAATATCCACGTGCAGACTTTCCAAACAGAGTGTTTCCAAACTGCTGAATGAAAAGAAAAGTTAAACTCTGTGAGTTGAACGCACACATCCCAGAGCAGTTTCTGAGAAAGATTCTGTCGAGTTTTTATAGGAAAATATTTCCTTTTCTGTTTTTGGCCTCAAAGCGCTTGAAATCTCCACTTGCAAATTCCACAAAAAGAGACTTTCAAATCTGCTCTGTCTAAAGGAAGGTTCAACTCTGTCAGTTGAATACACACAACACAAAGAAGTTACTAAGAATTCTTCCCTCTAGCATTATATGAAGAAATCCCGTTTCCAACGAAGGCATCTAAGAGGTCCAAATATCCACTTGCAGACTTTACAAACACAGGGTTTCCAGAATGCTGTATGAAAAGAAAGGTGAAACTCTGTGAGTTAAACACACACATCACTACGCAGTGTCTGGGAACGAGTTTGTCTTGTTTTTATACGAAGATATTTCCTTTTCTACCATTGGCATCGAAGCGCTTGAAATCTCCACTTGCAAATTCCACAAAAAGAGTGTTTCAAATCTGCTCTGTCTAAAGGAAGGTTGAACTCTGTGAGTTGCATATACACAACACAAAGAAGTTACTGAGAAATCTTCTGTCTAGCATAATATGAAGAAATCCCGTTTCCAACGAAGGCCTCAAAGAGGTCCGAATATCCACTGGCAGGCTTCACAAACAGAGTGTTTCCTAACTGCTCTGTGAAAAGAAAGGTTAAACTCTGTGAGTTGAACGCACACATCACAAAGGAGTTTCTGAGAATCATTCTGTCTAGTTTTTATACGAAGATATTTCCTTTTCTACCATTGACCTCAAAGCGGCTGAAATCTCCACTTGCAAATTCCAGAAAAACAGTGTTTCAAATCTGCTCTGTGTAAAGGATCGTTCAACTCTGTGAGTTGAATACACACAACACAAGGAAGTTACTGAGAATTCATCTGTCTAGCATAATATGAAGAAATCCCGTTTCCAACGAAGGCCTCAAAGAGGTCTGAATATCCACTTGCAGACTTTACAAACAGAGTGTTTCCTAACTGCTCTTTGAAAAGAAAGGTTAAACTCTGTGAGTTGAACGCACACATCACAAAACAGTTTCTGAGAATCATTCTGTCTAGTTTTTATACGAAGATATTTCCTTTTCTACCGTTGACCTCAAAGCGGCTGAATTCTCCACTTACAAATTCCACCAAAAGAGTGTCTCAAATCTGCTCTGTGTAAAGAATCATTCAACTCTGTGAGTTGAATGCACACAACACAAGGAAGTTACTGGGAATTCCTCTGTCTAACCTTACATGAAAAAACCCGTTTCCAACGAAGGCCTCTAAGAGGCCAAGATATCCACTTGCAGACTTTACAAACAGAGTGTTTCCAAACTGCTGAATGAAAAGAAAAGTTAAACTCTGTGAGTTGAACGCACACATCACAGAGCAGTTTCTGAGAATGATTCTGTCGGGTTTTTATACGAAGATATTTCCTTTTCTGCCTTTGGCCTCAAAGCGCTTGAAGTCTCCACTTGCAAATTGCAGAAAAAGAGTGTTTCGAATCTGCTCTGTCTAAAGGAAGGTTCAACTCTGTCAGTTGAATACACATAACACAAGGAAGTTACTGAGATTTCTTCTGTCTAGCGTTACATGAAAAAAACCCGTTTCCAACGAAGGCCTCAAAGAGGTCAAAATATCCACGTGCAGACTTTCCAAACAGAGTGTTTCCAAACTGCTGAATGAAAAGAAAAGTTAAACTCTGTGAGTTGAACGCACACATCCCAGAGCAGTTTCTGAGAAAGATTCTGTCTAGTTTTTATAGGAAAATATTTCCTTTTCTGCTTTTGGCCTCAAAGCGCTTGAAATCTCCACTTGCAAATTCCACAAAAAGAGACTTTCAAATCTGCTCTGTCTAAAGGAAGCTTCAACTCTGTCAGTTGAATACACACAACACAAAGAAGTTACTAAGAATTCTTCCCTCTAGCATTATATGAAGAAATCCCGTTTCCAACGAAGGCATCTAAGAGGTCCAAATATCCACTTGCAGACTTTACAAACAGAGGGTTTCCAGAATGCTGTATGAAAAGAAAGGTGAAACTCTGTGAGTTAAACACACACATCACTACGCAGTGTCTGGGAACGAGTTTGTCTTGTTTTTATACGAAGATATTTCCTTTTCTACCATTGGCATCGAAGCGCTTGAAATCTCCACTTGCAAATTCCACAAAAAGAGTGTTTCAAATCTGCTCTGTCTAAAGGAAGGTTGAACTCTGTGAGTTGCATACACACAACACAAAGAAGTTACTGAGAAATCTTCTGTCTAGCATAATATGAAGAAATCCCGTTTCCAACGAAGGCCTCAAAGAGGTCCGAATATCCACTGGCAGGCTTCACAAACAGAGTGTTTCCTAACTGCTCTGTGAAAAGAAAGGTTAAACTCTGTGAGTTGAACGCACACATCACAAAGGAGTTTCTGAGAATCATTCTGTCTAGTTTTTATACGAAGATATTTCCTTTTCTACCGTTGACCTCAAAGCGGCTGAAATCTCCACTTGCAAATTCCAGAAAAACAGTGTTTCAAATCTGCTCTGTGTAAAGGATCGTTCAACTCTGTGAGTTGAATACACACAACACAAGGAAGTTACTGAGAATTCATCTGTCTAGCATAATATGAAGAAATCCCGTTTCCAACGAAGGCCTCAAAGAGGTCTGAATATCCACTTGCAGACTTTACAAACAGAGTGTTTCCTAACTGCTCTTTGAAAAGAAAGGTTAAACTCTGTGAGTTGAACGCACACATCACAAAACAGTTTCTGAGAATCATTCTGTCTAGTTTTTATACGAAGATATTTCCTTTTCTACCGTTGACCTCAAAGCGGCTGAATTCTCCACTTACAAATTCCACCAAAAGAGTGTCTCAAATCTGCTCTGTGTAAAGAATCATTCAACTCTGTGAGTTGAATGCACACAACACAAGGAAGTTACTGGGAATTCCTCTGTCTAACCTTACATGAAAAAACCCGTTTCCAACGAAGGCCTCTAAGAGGCCAAGATATCCACTTGCAGACTTTACAAACAGAGTGTTTCCAAACTGCTGAATGAAAAGAAAAGTTAAACTCTGTGAGTTGAACGCACACATCACAGAGCAGTTTCTGAGAATGATTCTGTCGGGTTTTTATACGAAGATATTTCCTTTTCTGCCTTTGGCCTCAAAGCGCTTGAAGTCTCCACTTGCAAATTGCAGAAAAAGAGTGTTTCGAATCTGCTCTGTCTAAAGGAAGGTTCAACTCTGTCAGTTGAATACACACAACACAAGGAAGTTACTGAGATTTCTTCTGTCTAGCCTTACATGAAAAAAACCCGTTTCCAACGAAGGCCTCAAAGAGGTCAAAATATCCACGTGCAGACTTTCCAAACAGAGTGTTTCCAAACTGCTGAATGAAAAGAAAAGTTAAACTCTGTGAGTTGAACGCACACATCCCAGAGCAGTTTCTGAGAAAGATTCTGTCTAGTTTTTATAGGAAAATATTTCCTTTTCTGCTTTTGGCCTCAAAGCGCTTGAAATCTCCACTTGCAAATTCCACAAAAAGAGACTTTCAAATCTGCTCTGTCTAAAGGAAGGTTCAACTCTGTCAGTTGAATACACACAACACAAAGAAGTTACTAAGAATTCTTCCCTCTAGCATTATATGAAGAAATCCCGTTTCCAACGAAGGCATCTAAGAGGTCCAAATATCCACTTGCAGACTTTACAAACACAGGGTTTCCAGAATGCTGTATGAAAAGAAAGGTTAAACTCTGTGAGTTAAACACACACATCACTACGCAGTGTCTGGGAACGAGTTTGTCTTGTTTTTATACGAAGATATTTCCTTTTCTACCATTGGCATCGAAGCGCTTGAAATCTCCACTTGCAAATTCCACAAAAAGAGTGTTTCAAATCTGCTCTGTCTAAAGGAAGGTTGAACTCTGTGAGTTGCATACACACAACCCAAAGAAGTTACTGAGAAATCTTCTGTCTAGCATAATATGAAGAAATCCCGTTTCCAACGAAGGCCTCAAAGAGGTCCGAATATCCACTGGCAGGCTTCACAAACAGAGTGTTTCCTAACTGCTCTGTGAAAAGAAAGGTTAAACTCTGTGAGTTGAACGCACACATCACAAAGGAGTTTCTGAGAATCATTCTGTCTAGTTTTTATACGAAGATATTTCCTTTTCTACCATTGACCTCAAAGCGGCTGAAATCTCCACTTGCAAATTCCAGAAAAACAGTGTTTCAAATCTGCTCTGTGTAAAGGATCGTTCAACTCTGTGAGTTGAATACACACAACACAAGGAAGTTACTGAGAATTCATCTGTCTAGCATAATATGAAGAAATCCCGTTTCCAACGAAGGCCTCAAAGAGGTCTGAATATCCACTTGCAGACTTTACAAACAGAGTGTTTCCTAACTGCTCTTTGAAAAGAAAGGTTAAACTCTGTGAGTTGAACGCACACATCACAAAACAGTTTCTGAGAATCATTCTGTCTAGTTTTTATACGAAGATATTTCCTTTTCTACCGTTGACCTCAAAGCGGCTGAATTCTCCACTTACAAATTCCACCAAAAGAGTGTCTCAAATCTGCTCTGTGTAAAGAATCATTCAACTCTGTGAGTTGAATGCACACAACACAAGGAAGTTACTGGGAATTCCTGTGTCTATCCTTACATGAAAAAACCCGTTTCCAACGAAGGCCTCTAAGAGGCCAAGATATCCACTTGCAGACTTTACAAACAGAGTGTTTCCAAACTGCTGAATGAAAAGAAAAGTTAAACTCTGTGAGTTGAACGCACACATCACAGAGCAGTTTCTGAGAATGATTCTGTCGGGTTTTTATACGAAGATATTTCCTTTTCTGCCTTTGGCCTCAAAGCGCTTGAAGTCTCCACTTGCAAATTGCAGAAAAAGAGTGTTTCGAATCTGCTCTGTCTAAAGGAAGGTTCAACTCTGTCAGTTGAATACACACAACACAAGGAAGTTACTGAGATTTCTTCTGTCTAGCCTTACATGAAAAAAACCCGTTTCCAACGAAGGCCTCAAAGAGGTCAAAATATCCACGTGCAGACTTTCCAAACAGAGTGTTTCCAAACTGCTGAATGAAAAGAAAAGTTAAACTCTGTGAGTTGAACGCACACATCCCAGAGCAGTTTCTGAGAAAGATTCTGTCTAGTTTTTATAGGAAAATATTTCCTTTTCTGCTTTTGGCCTCAAAGCGCTTGAAATCTCCACTTGCAAATTCCACAAAAAGAGACTTTCAAATCTGCTCTGTCTAAAGGAAGGTTCAACTCTGTCAGTTGAATACACACAACACAAAGAAGTTACTAAGAATTCTTCCCTCTAGCATTATATGAAGAAATCCCGTTCCCAACGAAGGCATCTAAGAGGTCCAAATATCCACTTGCAGACTTTACAAACAGGGGGTTTCCAGAATGCTGTATGAAAAGAAAGGTTAAACTCTGTGAGTTAAACACACATATCACTACGCAGTGTCTGGGAACGAGTTTGTCTTGTTTTTATACGAAGATATTTCCTTTTCTACCATTGGCATCGAAGCGCTTGAAATCTCCACTTGCAAATTCCACAAAAAGAGTGTTTCAAATCTGCTCTGTCTAAAGGAAGGTTGAACTCTGTGAGTTGCATACACACAACACAAAGAAGTTACTGAGAAATCTTCTGTCTAGCATAATATGAAGAAATCCCGTTTCCAACGAAGGCCTCAAAGAGGTCCGAATATCCACTGGCAGGCTTCACAAACAGAGTGTTTCCTAACTGCTCTGTGAAAAGAAAGGTTAAACTCTGTGAGTTGAACGCACACATCACAAAGGAGTTTCTGAGAATCATTCTGTCTAGTTTTTATACGAAGATATTTCCTTTTCTACCATTGACCTCAAAGCGGCTGAAATCTCCACTTGCAAATTCCAGAAAAACAGTGTTTCAAATCTGCTCTGTGTAAAGGATCGTTCAACTCTGTGAGTTGAATACACACAACACAAGGAAGTTACTGAGAATTCATCTGTCTAGCATAATATGAAGAAATCCCGTTTCCAACGAAGGCCTCAAAGAGGTCTGAATATCCACTTGCAGACTTTACAAACAGAGTGTTTCCTAACTGCTCTTTGAAAAGAAAGGTTAAACTCTGTGAGTTGAACGCACACATCACAAAACAGTTTCTGAGAATCATTCTGTCTAGTTTTTATACGAAGATATTTCCTTTTCTACCGTTGACCTCAAAGCGGCTGAATTCTCCACTTACAAATTCCACCAAAAGAGTGTCTCAAATCTGCTCTGTGTAAAGAATCATTCAACTCTGTGAGTTGAATGCACACAACACAAGGAAGTTACTGGGAATTCCTCTGTCTAACCTTACATGAAAAAACCCGTTTCCAACGAAGGCCTCTAAGAGGCCAAGATATCCACTTGCAGACTTTACAAACAGAGTGTTTCCAAACTGCTGAATGAAAAGAAAAGTTAAACTCTGTGAGTTGAACGCACACATCACAGAGCAGTTTCTGAGAATGATTCTGTCGGGTTTTTATACGAAGATATTTCCTTTTCTGCCTTTGGCCTCAAAGCGCTTGAAGTCTCCACTTGCAAATTGCAGAAAAAGAGTGTTTCGAATCTGCTCTGTCTAAAGGAAGGTTCAACTCTGTCAGTTGAATACACACAACACAAGGAAGTTACTGAGATTTCTTCTGTCTAGCCTTACATGAAAAAAACCCGTTTCCAACGAAGGCCTCAAAGAGGTCAAAATATCCACGTGCAGACTTTCCAAACAGAGTGTTTCCAAACTGCTGAATGAAAAGAAAAGTTAAACTCTGTGAGTTGAACGCACACATCCCAGAGCAGTTTCTGAGAAAGATTCTGTCGAGTTTTTATAGGAAAATATTTCCTTTTCTGCTTTTGGCCTCAAAGCGCTTGAAATCTCCACTTGCAAATTCCACAAAAAGAGACTTTCAAATCTGCTCTGTCTAAAGGAAGGTTCAACTCTGTCAGTTGAATACACACAACACAAAGAAGTTACTAAGAATTCTTCCCTCTAGCATTATATGAAGAAATCCCGTTTCCAACGAAGGCATCTAAGAGGTCCAAATATCCACTTGCAGACTTTACAAACAGAGGGTTTCCAGAATGCTGTATGAAAAGAAAGGTGAAACTGCTGTGAGTTAAACACACACATCACTACGCAGTGTCTGGGAACGAGTTTGTCTTGTTTTTATACGAAGATATTTCCTTTTCTACCATTGGCATCGAAGCGCTTGAAATCTCCACTTGCAAATTCCACAAAAAGAGTGTTTCAAATCTGCTCTGTCTAAAGGAAGGTTGAACTCTGTGAGTTGCATACACACAACACAAAGAAGTTACTGAGAAATCTTCTGAATAGCATAATATGAAGAAATCCCGTTTCCAACGAAGGCCTCAAAGAGGTCCGAATATCCACTGGCAGGCTTCACAAACAGAGTGTTTCCTAACTGCTCTGTGAAAAGAAAGGTTAAACTCTGTGAGTTGAACGCACACATCACAAAGGAGTTTCTGAGAATCATTCTGTCTAGTTTTTATACGAAGATATTTCCTTTTCTACCATTGACCTCAAAGCGGCTGAAATCTCCACTTGCAAATTCCAGAAAAACAGTGTTTCAAATCTGCTCTGTGTAAAGGATCGTTCAACTCTGTGAGTTGAATACACACAACACAAGGAAGTTACTGAGAATTCATCTGTCTAGCATAATATGAAGAAATCCCGTTTCCAACGAAGGCCTCAAAGAGGTCTGAATATCCACTTGCAGACTTTACAAACAGAGTGTTTCCTAACTGCTCTTTGAAAAGAAAGGTTAAACTCTGTGAGTTGAACGCACACATCACAAAACAGTTTCTGAGAATCATTCTGTCTAGTTTTTATACGAAGATATTTGCTTTTCTACCGTTGACCTCAAAGCGGCTGAATTCTCCACTTACAAATTCCACCAAAAGAGTGTCTCAAATGTGCTCTGTGTAAAGAATCATTCAACTCTGTGAGTTGAATGCACACAACACAAGGAAGTTACTGGGAATTCCTCTGTCTATCCTTACATGAAAAAACCCGCTTCCAACGAAGGCCTCTAAGAGGCCAAGATATCCACTTGCAGACTTTACAAACAGAGTGTTTCCAAACTGCTGAATGAAAAGAAAAGTTAAACTCTGTGAGTTGAACGCACACATCACAGAGCAGTTTCTGAGAATGATTCTGTCGGGTTTTTATACGAAGATATTTCCTTTTCTGCCTTTGGCCTCAAAGCGCTTGAAGTCTCCCCTTGCAAATTGCAGAAAAAGAGTGTTTCGAATCTGCTCTGTCTAAAGGAAGGTTCAACTCTGTCAGTTGAATACACACAACACAAGGAAGTTACTGAGGTTTCTTCTGTCTAGCGTTACATGAAAAAAACCCGTTTCCAACGAAGGCCTCAAAGAGGTCAAAATATCCACGTGCAGACTTTCCAAACAGAGTGTTTCCAAACTGCTGAATGAAAAGAAAAGTTAAACTCTGTGAGTTGAACGCACACATCACAGAGCAGTTTCTGAGAAAGATTCTGTCTAGTTTTTATAGGAAAATATTTCCTTTTCTGCTTTTGGCCTCAAAGCGCTTGAAATCTCCACTTGCAAATTCCACAAAAAGAGACTTTCAAATCTGCTCTGTCTAAAGGAAGGTTCAACTCTGTCACTTGAATACACACAACACAAAGAAGTTACTAAGAATTCTTCCCTCTAGCATTATATGAAGAAATCCCGTTTCCAACGAAGGCATCTAAGAGGTCCAAATATCCACTTGCAGACTTTACAAACAGAGGGTTTCCAGAATGCTGTATGAAAAGAAAGGTTAAACTCTGTGAGTTAAACACACACATCACTACGCAGTGTCTGGGAACGAGTTTGTCTTGTTTTTATACGAAGATATTTCCTTTTCTACCATTGGCATCGAAGCGCTTGAAATCTCCACTTGCAAATTCCACAAAAAGAGTGTTTCAAATCTGCTCTGTCTAAAGGAAGGTTGAACTCTGTGAGTTGCATACACACAACACAAAGAAGTTACTGAGAAATCTTCTGTCTAGCATAATATGAAGAAATCCCGTTTCCAACGAAGGCCTCAAAGAGGTCCGAATATCCACTGGCAGGCTTCACAAACAGAGTGTTTCCTAACTGCTCTGTGAAAAGAAAGGTTAAACTCTGTGAGTTGAACGCACACATCACAAAGGAGTTTCTGAGAATCATTCTGTCTAGTTTTTATACGAAGATATTTCCTTTTCTACCATTGACCTCAAAGCGGCTGAAATCTCCACTTGCAAATTCCAGAAAAACAGTGTTTCAAATCTGCTCTGTGTAAAGGATCGTTCAACTCTGTGAGTTGAATACACACAACACAAGGAAGTTACTGAGAATTCATCTGTCTAGCATAATATGAAGAAATCCCGTTTCCAACGAAGGCCTCAAAGAGGTCTGAATATCCACTTGCAGACTTTACAAACAGAGTGTTTCCTAACTGCTCTTTGAAAAGAAAGGTTAAACTCTGTGAGTTGAACGCACACATCACAAAACAGTTTCTGAGAATCATTCTGTCTAGTTTTTATACGAAGATATTTCCTTTTCTACCGTTGACCTCAAAGCGGCTGAATTCTCCACTAACAAATTCCACCAAAAGAGTGTCTCAAATCTGCTCTGTGTAAAGAATCATTCAACTCTGTGAGTTGAATGCACACAACACAAGGAAGTTACTGGGAATTCCTCTGTCTAACCTTACATGAAAAAACCCGTTTCCAACGAAGGCCTCTAAGAGGACAAGATATCCACTTGCAGACTTTACAAACAGAGTGTTTCCAAACTGCTGAATGAAAAGAAAAGTTAAACTCTGTGAGTTGAACGCACACATCACAGAGCAGTTTCTGAGAATGATTCTGTCTGTTTTTTATACGAAGATATTTCCTTTTCTGCCTTTGGCCTCAAAGCGCTTGAAGTCTCCACTTGCAAATTGCAGAAAAAGAGTGTTTCGAATCTGCTCTGTCTAAATGAAGGTTCAACTCTGTCAGTTGAATACACACAAGACCAGGAATTTACTGAGATTTCTTTTGTCTAGCAATACATGAAAAAAACCCGTTTCCTACGAAGGCCTCTAAGAGGTCAAAATATCCACGTACAGACTTTACAAACAGAGTGTTTCCAAACTGCTGAATGAAAAGAAATGTTAAACTCTGTGAATTGAACGCACACATCACAGAGCAGTTTCTGAGAATGATTCTGTCTAGTTTTTATAGGAAAATATTTCCTTTTCTGCTTTTGGCCTCAAAGCGCTTGAAATCTCCACTTGCAAATTCCACAAAAAGAGAGTTTCAAATCTACTCTTTCTAAAGGAAGTTTCAACTCCGTCAGTTGAAAACACACAACACAAAGAAGTTACTAAGAATTCTTCCCTCTAGCATTATATGAAGAAATCCCGTTTCCAACGAAGGCATCTAAGAGGTCCAAATATCCACTTGCAGACTTTACAAACAGAGGGTTTCCAGAATGCTGTATGAAAAGAAAGGTTAAACTCTGTGAGTTAAACACACACATCACTACGCAGTGTCTGGGAACGAGTTTGTCTTGTTTTTATACGAAGATATTTCCTTTTCTACCATTGGCATCGAAGCGCTTGAAATCTCCACTTGCAAATTCCACAAAAAGAGTGTTTCAAATCTGCTCTCTCTAAAGGAAGGTTGAACTCTGTGAGTTGCATACACACAACACAAAGAAGTTACTGAGAAATCTTCTGTCTAGCATAATATGAAGAAATACCGTTTCCAACGAAGGTCTCAAAGAGGTCCGAATATCCACTGGCAGGCTTCACAAACAGAGTGTTTCGTAACTGCTCTATGAAAAGAAAGGTTAAACTCTGTGAGTTGAACGCACACATCACAAAACAGTTTCTGATAATCATTCTGTCTAGTTTTTATACGAAGCATATTTCCTTTTCTACCATTGACCTCAAAGCGGCTGAAATCTCCACTTGCAAATTCCAGAAAAACAGTGTTTCAAATCTGCTCTGTGTAAAGGATCGTTCAACTCTGTGAGTTGAATACACACAACACAAGGAAAGTTACTGAGAATTCATCTGTCTAGCATAATATGATGAAATCCCGTTTCCAACGAAGGCTTCAAAGAGGTCTGAATATCCACTTGCAGACTTTACAAACAGAGTGTTTCCTAACTGCTCTTTGAAAAGAAAGGTTAAACTCTGTGAGTTGAACGCACACATCACAAAACAGTTTCTGAGAATCATTCTTTCTAGTTTTTATACGAAGATATTTCCTTTTCTACCGTTGACCTCAAAGCGGCTGAATTCTCCACTTACAAATTCCACCAAAAGTGTGTCTCAAATCTGCTCTGTGTAAAGAATCATTCAACTCTGTGAGTTGAATGCACACAACACAAGGAAGTTACTGGGAATTCCTCTGTCTAACCTTACATGAAAAAACCCGTTTCCAACGAAGGCCTCTAAGAGGCCAAGATATCCACTTGCAGACTTTACAAACAGAGTGTTTCCAAACTGCTGAATGAAAAGAAAAGTTAAACTCTGTGAGTTGAACGCACACATCACAGAGCAGTTTCTGAGAATGATTCTGTCGGGTTTTTATACGAAGATATTTCCTTTTCTGCCTTTGGCCTCAAAGCGCTTGAAGTCTCCACTTGCAAATTGCAGAAAAAGAGTGTTTCGAATCTGCTCTGTCTAAAGGAAGGTTCAACTCTGTCAGTTGAATACACACAACACAAGGAAGTTACTGAGATTTCTTCTGTCTAGCCTTACATGAAAAAAACCCGTTTCCAACGAAGGCCTCAAAGAGGTCAAAATATCCACGTGCAGACTTTCCAAACAGAGTGTTTCCAAACTGCTGAATGAAAAGAAAAGTTAAACTCTGTGAGTTGAACGCACACATCCCAGAGCAGTTTCTGAGAAAGATTCTGTCTAGTTTTTATAGGAAAATATTTCCTTTTCTGCTTTTGGCCTCAAAGCGCTTGAAATCTCCACTTGCAAATTCCACAAAAAGAGACTTTCAAATCTGCTCTGTCTAAAGGAAGGTTCAACTCTGTCAGTTGAATACACACAACACAAAGAAGTTACTAAGAATTCTTCCCTCTAGCATTATATGAAGAAATCCCGTTTCCAACGAAGGCATCTAAGAGGTCCAAATATCCACTTGCAGACTTTACAAACACAGGGTTTCCAGAATGCTGTATGAAAAGAAAGGTTAAACTCTGTGAGTTAAACACACACATCACTACGCAGTGTCTGGGAACGAGTTTGTCTTGTTTTTATACGAAGATATTTCGTTTTCTACCATTGGCATCGAAGCGCTTGAAATCTCCACTTGCAAATTCCACAAAAAGAGTGTTTCAAATCTGCTCTGTCTAAAGGAAGGTTGAACTCTGTGAGTTGCATACACACAACACAAAGAAGTTACTGAGAAATCTTCTGTCTAGCATAATATGAAGAAATCCCGTTTCCAACGAAGGCCTCAAAGAGGTCCGATTATCCACTGGCAGGCTTCACAAACAGAGTGTTTCCTAACTGCTCTGTGAAAAGAAAGGTTAAACTCTGTGAGTTGAACGCACACATCACAAAGGAGTTTCTGAGAATCATTCTGTCTAGTTTTTATACGAAGATATTTCCTTTTCTACTATTGACCTCAAAGCGGCTGAAATCTCCACTTGCAAATTCCAGAAAAACAGTGTTTCAAATCTGCTCTGTGTAAAGGATCGTTCAACTCTGTGAGTTGAATACACACAACACAAGGAAGTTACTGAGAATTCATCTGTCTTAGCATAATATGAAGAAATCCCGTTTCCAAAGAACGCCTCAAAGAGGTATGAATATCCACTTGCAGACTTTACAAACAGAGTGTTTCTTAACTGCTCTTTGAAAAGAAAGGTTAAACTCTGTGAGTTGAACGCACACATCACAAAACAGTTTCTGAGAATCATTCTGTCTAGTTTTTATACGAAGATATTTCCTTTTGTACCATTGACCTCAAATCGGCTGAATTCTCCACTTACAAATTCCACCAAAAGAGTGTCTCAAATCTGCTCTGTGTAAAGAATCATTCAACTCTGTGAGTTGAGTGCACACAACACAAGGAAGTTACTGGGAATTCCTCTGTCTAACCTTACATGAAGAAACCCGTTTCCAACGAAGGCCTCTAAGAGGCCAAGATATCCACTTGCAGACTTTACAAACAGAGTGTTTCCAAACTGCTGAATGAAAAGAAAAGTTAAACTCTGTGAGTTGAACGCACACATCACAGAGCAGTTTCTGAGAATGATTCTGTCGGGTTTTTATACGAAGATATTTCCTTTTCTGCCTTTGGCCTCAAAGCGCTTGAAGTCTCCACTTGCAAATTGCAGAAAAAGAGTGTTTCGAATCTGCTCTGTCTAAAGGAAGGTTCAACTCTGTCAGTTGAATACACACAACACAAGGAAGTTACTGAGATTTCTTCTGTCTAGCCTTACATGAAAAAAACCCGTTTCCAACGAAGGCCTCAAAGAGGTCAAAATATCCACGTGCAGACTTTCCAAACAGAGTGTTTCCAAACTGCTGAATGGAAAGAATAGTTAAACTCTGTGAGTTGAACGCACACATCCCAGAGCAGTTTCTGAGAAAGATTCTGTCTAGTTTTTATAGGAAAATATTTCCTTTTCTGCTTTTGGCCTCAAAGCGCTTGAAATCTCCACTTGCAAATTCCACAAAAAGAGACTTTCAAATCTGCTCTGTCTAAAGGAAGGTTCAACTCTGTCAGTTGAATACACACAACACAAAGAAGTTACTAAGAATTCTTCCCTCTAGCATTATATGAAGAAATCCCGTTCCCAACGAAGGCATCTAAGAGGTCCAAATATCCACTTGCAGACTTTACAAACAGAGGGTTTCCAGAATGCTGTATGAAAAGAAAGGTTAAACTCTGTGAGTTAAACACACACATCACTACGCAGTGTCTGGGAACGAGTTTGTCTTGTTTTTATACGAAGATATTTCCTTTTCTACCATTGGCATCGATGTGCTTGAAATTTCCACTTGCAAATTCCACAAAAAGAGTGTTTCAAATCTGCTCTGTCTAAAGGAAGGTTGAACTCTGTGAGTTGCATACACACAACACAAAGAAGTTACTGAGAAATCTTCTGTCTAGCAAAATATGAAGAAATCCCGTTTCCAACGAAGGCCTCAAAGAGGTCCGAATATCCACTGGCAGGCTTCACAAACAGAGTGTTTCCTAACTGCTCTGTGAAAAGAAAGGTTAAACTCTGTGAGTTGAACGCACACATCACAAAGGAGTTTCTGAGAATCATTCTGTCCAGTTTTTATACGAAGATATTTCCTTTTCTACCATTGACCTCAAAGCGGCTGAAATCTCCACTTGCAAATTCCAGAAAAACAGTGTTTCAAATCTGCTCTGTGTAAAGGATCGTTCAACTCTGTGAGTTGAATACACACAACACAAGGAAGTTACTGAGAATTCATCTGTCTAGCATAATATGATGAAATCCCGTTTCCAACGAAGGCTTCAAAGAGGTCTGAATATCCACTTGCAGACTTTACAAACAGAGTGTTTCCTAACTGCTCTTTGAAAACAAAGGTTAAACTCTTTGAGTTGAACGCACACATCACAAAACAGTTTCTGAGAATCATTCTTTCTAGTTTTTATACGAAGATATTTCCTTTTCTACCGTTGACCTCAAAGCGGCTGAATTCTCCACTTACAAATTCCACCAAAAGTGTGTCTCAAATCAGGTCTGTGTAAAGAATCATTCAACTCTGTGAGTTGAATGCACACAACACAAGGAAGTTACTGGGAATTCCTCTGTCTACCTTACATGAAAAAACCCGTTTCCAACGAAGGCCTCTAAGAGGCCAAGATATCCACTTGCAGACTTTACAAACAGAGTGTTTCCAAACTGCTGAATGAAAAGAAAAGTTAAACTCTGTGAGTTGAACGCACACATCACAGAGCAGTTTCTGAGAATGATTCTGTCGGGTTTTTATACGAAGATATTTCCTTTTCTGCCTTTGGCCTCAAAGCGCTTGAAGTCTCCACTTGCAAATTGCAGAAAAAGAGTGTTTCGAATCTGCTCTGTCTAAAGGAAGGTTCAACTCTGTCAGTTGAATACACACAACACAAGGAAGTTACTGAGATTTCTTCTGTCTAGCGTTACATTAAAAAAACCCGTTTCCAACGAAGGCCTCAAAGAGGTCAAAATATCCACGTGCAGACTTTCCAAACAGAGTGTTTCCAAACTGCTGAATGAAAAGAAAGTTAAACTCTGTGAGTTGAACACACACATCACAGAGCAGTTTCTGAGAATGATTCTGTCTAGTTTTTATAGGAAAATATTTCCTTTTCTGCTTTTGGCCTCAAAGCGCTTGAAATCTCCACTTGCAAATTCCACAAAAAGAGACTTTCAAATCTGCTCTGTCTAAAGGAAGGTTCAACTCTGTCAGTTGAATACACACAACACAAAGAAGTTACTAAGAATTCTTCCCTCTAGCATTATATGAAGAAATCCCGTTTCCAACGAAGGCATCTAAGAGGTCCAAATATCCACTTGCAGACTTTACAAACAGAGGGTTTCCAGAATGCTGTATGAAAAGAAAGGTGAAACTCTGTGAGTTAAACACACACATCACTACGCAGTGTCTGGGAACGAGTTTGTCTTGTTTTTATACGAAGATATTTCCTTTTCTACCATTGGCATCGAAGCGCTTGAAATCTCCACTTGCAAATTCCACAAAAAGAGTGTTTCAAATCTGCTCTGTCTAAAGGAAGGTTGAACTCTGTGAGTTGCATACACACAACACAAAGAAGTTACTGAGAAATCTTCTGTCTAGCATAATATGAAGAAATCCCGTTTCCAACGAAGGCCTCAAAGAGGTCCGAATATCCACTGGCAGGCTTCACAAACAGAGTGTTTCCTAACTGCTCTGTGAAAAGAAAGGTTAAACTCTGTGAGTTGAACGCACACATCACAAAGGAGTTTCTGAGAATCATTCTGTCTAGTTTTTATACAGAAGATATTTCCTTTTCTACCATTGACCTCAAAGCGGCTGAAATCTCCACTTGCAAATTCCAGAAAAACAGTGTTTCAAATCTGCTCTGTGTAAAGGATCGTTCAACTCTGTGAGTTGAATACACACAACACAAGGAAGTTACTGAGAATTCATCTGTCTAGCATAATATGAAGAAATCCCGTTTCCAACGAAGGCCTCAAAGAGGTCTGAATATCCACTTGCAGACTTTACAAACAGAGTGTTTCCTAACTGCTCTTTGAAAAGAAAGGTTAAACTCTGTGAGTTGAAAGCACACATCACAAAACAGTTTCTGAGAATCATTCTGTCTAGTTTTTATACGAAGATATATCCTTTTCTACCGTTGACCTCAAAGCGGCTGAATTCTCCACTTACAAATTCCACCAAAAGAGTGTCTCAAATCTGCTCTGTGTAAAGAATCATTCAACTCTGTGAGTTGAATGCACACAACACAAGGAAGTTACTGGGAATTCCTCTGTCTAACCTTACATGAAAAAACCCGTTTCCAACGAAGGCCTCTAAGAGGCCAAGATATCCACTTGCAGACTTTACAAACAGAGTGTTTCCAAACTGCTGAATGAAAAGAAAAGTTAAACTCTGTGAGTTGAACGCACACATCACAGAGCAGTTTCTGAGAATGATTCTGTCGGGTTTTTATACGAAGATATTTCCTTTTCTGCCTTTGGCCTCAAAGCGCTTGAAGTCTCCACTTGCAAATTGCAGAAAAAGAGTGTTTCGAATCTGCTCTGTCTAAAGGAAGGTTCAACTCTGTCAGTTGAATACACACAACACAAGGAAGTTACTGAGATTTCTTCTGTCTAGCCTTACATGAAAAAAACCCGTTTCCAACGAAGGCCTCAAAGAGGTCAAAATATCCACGTGCAGACTTTCCAAACAGAGTGTTTCCAAACTGCTGAATGAAAAGAAAAGTTAAACTCTGTGAGTTGAACGCACACATCCCAGAGCAGTTTCTGAGAAAGATTCTGTCTAGTTTTTATAGGAAAATATTTCCTTTTCTGCTTTTGGCCTCAAAGCGCTTGAAATCTCCACTTGCAAATTCCACAAAAAGAGACTTTCAAATCTGCTCTGTCTAAAGGAAGGTTCAACTCTGTCAGTTGAATACACACAACACAAAGAAGTTACTAAGAATTCTTCCCTCTAGCATTATATGAAGAAATCCCGTTTCCAACGAAGGCATCTAAGAGGTCCAAATATCCACTTGCAGACTGTACAAACAGAGGGTTTCCAGAATGCTGTATGAAAAGAAAGGTGAAACTCTGTGAGTTAAACACACACATCACTACGCAGTGTCTGGGAACGAGTTTGTCTTGTTTTTATACGAAGATATTTCCTTTTCTACCATTGGCATCGAAGCGCTTGAAATCTCCACTTGCAAATTCCACAAAAAGAGTGTTTCAAATCTGCTCTGTCTAAAGGAAGGTTGAACTCTGTGAGTTGAATACACACAACACAAGGAAGTTACTGAGAATTCATCTGTCTAGCATAATATGAAGAAATCCCGTTTCCAACGAAGGCCTCAAAGAGGTCTGAATATCCACTTGCAGACTTTACAAACAGAGTGTTTCCTAACTGCTCTTTGAAAAGAAAGGTTAAACTCTGTGAGTTGAACGCACACATCACAAAACAGTTTCTGAGAATCATTCTGTCTAGTTTTTATACGAAGATATTTCCTTTTCTACCGTTGACCTCAAAGCGGCTGAATTCTCCACTTACAAATTCCACCAAAAGAGTGTCTCAAATCTGCTCTGTGTAAAGAATCATTCAACTCTGTGAGTTGAATGCACACAACACAAGGAAGTTACTGGGAATTCCTCTGTCTAACCTTACATGAAAAAACCCGTTTCCAACGAAGGCCTCTAAGAGGCCAAGATATCCACTTGCAGACTTTACAAACAGAGTGTTTCCAAACTGCTGAATGAAAAGAAAAGTTAAACTCTGTGAGTTGAACAGCACACATCACAGAGCAGTTTCTGAGAATGATTCTGTCGGGTTTTTATACGAAGATATTTCCTTTTCTGCCTTTGGCCTCAAAGCGCTTGAAGTCTCCACTTGCAAATTGCAGAAAAAGAGTGTTTCGAATCTGCTCTGTCTAAAGGAAGGTTCAACTCTGTCAGTTGAATACACACAACACAAGGAAGTTACTGAGATTTCTTCTGTCTAGCCTTACATGAAAAAAACCCGTTTCCAATGAAGGCCTCAAAGAGGTCAAAATATCCACGTGCAGACTTTCCAAACAGAGTGTTTCCAAACTGCTGAATGAAAAGAAAAGTTAAACTCTGTGAGTTGAACGCACACATCCCAGAGCAGTTTCTGAGAAAGATTCTGTCGAGTTTTTATAGGAAAATATTTCCTTTTCTGCTTTTGGCCTCAAAGCGCTTGAAATCTCCACTTGCAAATTCCACAAAAAGAGACTTTCAAATCTGCTCTGTCTAAAGGAAGGTTCAACTCTGTCAGTTGAATACACACAACACAAAGAAGTTACTAAGAATTCTTCCCTCTAGCATTATATGAAGAAATCCCGTTTCCAACGAAGGCATCTAAGAGGTCCAAATATCCACTTGCAGACTTTACAAACACAGGGTTTCCAGAATGCTGTATGAAAAGAAAGGTTAAACTCTGTGAGTTAAACACACACATCACTACGCAGTGTCTGGGAACGAGTTTGTCTTGTTTTTATACGAAGATATTTCCTTTTCTACCATTGGCATCGAAGCGCTTGAAATCTCCACTTGCAAATTCCACAAAAAGAGTGTTTCAAATCTGCTCTGTCTAAAGGAAGGTTGAACTCTGTGAGTTGCATACACACAACACAAAGAAGTTACTGAGAAATCTTCTGTCTAGCATAATATGAAGAAATCCCGTTTCCAACGAAGGCCTCAAAGAGGTCCGAATATCCACTGGCAGGCTTCACAAACAGAGTGTTTCCTAACTGCTCTGTGAAAAGAAAGGTTAAACTCTGTGAGTTGAACGCACACATCACAAAGGAGTTTCTGAGAATCATTCTGTCTAGTTTTTATATGAAGATATTTCCTTTTCTACCATTGACCTCAAAGCGGCTGAAATCTCCACTTGCAAATTCCAGAAAAACAGTGTTTCAAATCTGCTCTGTGTAAAGGATCGTTCAACTCTGTGAGTTGAATACACACAACACAAGGAAGTTACTGAGAATTCATCTGTCTAGCATAATATGAAGAAATCCCGTTTCCAACGAAGGCCTCAAAGAGGTCTGAATATCCACTTGCAGACTTTACAAACAGAGTGTTTCCTAACTGCTCTTTGAAAAGAAAGGTTAAACTCTGTGAGTTGAACGCACACATCACAAAACAGTTTCTGAGAATCATTCTGTCTAGTTTTTATACGAAGATATTTCCTTTTCTACCGTTGACCTCAAAGCGGCTGAATTCTCCACTTACAAATTCCACCAAAAGAGTGTCTCAAATCTGCTCTGTGTAAAGAATCATTCAACTCTGTGAGTTGAATGCACACAACACAAGGGAGTTACTGGGAATTCCTCTGTCTATCCTTAAATGAAAAAACCCGTTTCCAACGAAGGCCTCTAAGAGGCCAAGATATCCACTTGCACACTTTACAAACAGAGTGTTTCCAAACTGCTGAATGAAAAGAAAAGTTAAACTCTGTGAGTTGAACGCACACATCACAGAGCAGTTTCTGAGAAAGATTCTGTCGGGTTTTTATACGAAGATATTTCCTTTTCTGCCTTTGGCCTCAAAGCGCTTGAAGTCTCCACTTGCAAATTGCAGAAAAAGAGTGTTTCGAATCTGCTCTGTCTAAAGGAAGGTTCAACTCTGTCAGTTGAATACACACAACACAAGGAAGTTACTGAGATTTCTTCTGTCTAGCGTTACATTAAAAAAACCCGTTTCCAACGAAGGCCTCAAAGAGGTCAAAATATCCACGTGCAGACTTTCCAAACAGAGTGTTTCCAAACTGCTGAATGAAAAGAAAAGTTAAACTCTGTGAGTTGAACGCACACATCACAGAGCAGTTTCTGAGAAAGATTCTGTCGAGTTTTTATAGGAAAATATTTCCTTTTCTGCTTTTGGCCTCAAAGCGCTTGAAATCTCCACTTGCAAATTCCACAAAAAGAGACTTTCAAATCTGCTCTGTCTAAAGGAAGGTTCAACTCTGTCAGTTGAATACACACAACACCAAGAAGTTACTAAGAATTCTTCCCTCTAGCATTATATGAAGAAATCCCGTTTCCAACGAAGGCATCTAAGAGGTCCAAATATCCACTTGCAGACTTTACAAACAGAGGGTTTCCAGAATGCTGTATGAAAAGAAAGGTTAAACTCTGTGAGTTAAACACACACATCACTACGCAGTGTCTGGGAATGAGTTTGTCTTGTTTTTATACGAAGATATTTCCTTTTCTACCATTGGCATCGAAGCGTTTGAAATCTCCACTTGCAAATTCCACAAAAAGAGTGTTTCAAATCTGCTCTGTCTAAAGGAAGGTTGAACTCTGTGAGTTGCATACACACAACCCAAAGAAGTTACTGAGAAATCTTCTGTCTAGCATAATAGGAAGAAATCCCGTTTCCAACGAAGGCCTCAAAGAGGTCCGAATATCCACTGGCAGGCTTCACAAACAGAGTGTTTCCTAACTGCTCTGTGAAAAGAAAGGTTAAACTCTGTGAGTTGAATGCACACATCACAAAGGAGTTTCTGAGAATCATTCTGTCTAGTTTTTATACGAAGATATTTCCTTTTCTACCATTGACCTCAAAGCGGCTGAAATCTCCACTTGCAAATTCCAGAAAAACAGTGTTTCAAATCTGCTCTGTGTAAAGGATCGTTCAACTCTGTGAGTTGAATACACACAACACAAGGAAGTTACTGAGAATTCATCTGTCTAGCATAATATGAAGAAATCCCGTTTCCAACGAAGGCCTCAAAGAGGTCTGAATATCCACTTGCAGACTTTACAAACAGAGTGTTTCCTAACTGCTCTTTGAAAAGAAAGGTTAAACTCTGTGAGTTGAACGCACACATCACAAAACAGTTTCTGAGAATCATTCTGTCTAGTTTTTATACGAAGATATTTCCTTTTCTACCGTTGACCTCAAAGCGGCTGAATTCTCCACTTACAAATTCCACCAAAAGAGTGTCTCAAATCTGCTCTGTGTAAAGAATCATTCAACTCTGTGAGTTGAATGCACACAACACAAGGAAGTTACTGGGAATTCCTCTGTCTATCCTTACATGAAAAAACCCGTTTCCAACGAAGGCCTCTAAGAGGCCAAGATATCCACTTGCAGACTTTACAAACAGAGTGTTTCCAAACTGCTGAATGAAAAGAAAAGTTAAACTCTGTGAGTTGAACGCACACATCACAGAGCAGTTTCTGAGAATGATTCTGTCGGGTTTTTATACGAAGATATTTCCTTTTCTGCCTTTGGCCTCAAAGCACTTGAAGTCTCCACTTGCAAATTGCAGAAAAAGAGTGTTTCGAATCTGCTCTGTCTAAAGGAAGGTTCAACTCTGTCAGTTGAATACACACAACACAAGGAAGTTACTGAGATTTCTTCTGTCTAGCCTTACATGAAAAAACCCGTTTCCAACGAAGGCCTCAAAGAGGTCAAAATATCCACGTGCAGACTTTCTAAACAGAGTGTTTCCAAACTGCTGAATGAAAAGAAAGTTAAACTCTGTGAGTTGAACACACACATCACAGAGCAGTTTCTGAGAATGATTCTGTCTAGTTTTTATAGGAAAATATTTCCTTTTCTGCTTTTGGCCTCAAAGCGCTTGAAATCTCCACTTGCAAATTCCACAAAAAGAGACTTTCAAATCTGCTCTGTCTAAAGGAAGGTTCAACTCTGTCAGTTGAATACACACAACACAAAGAAGTTACTAAGAATTCTTCCCTCTAGCATTATATGAAGAAATCCCGTTTCCAACGAAGGCATCTAAGAGGTCCAAATATCCACTTGCAGACTTTACAAACAGAGGGTTTCCAGAATGCTGTATGAAAAGAAAGGTTAAACTCTGTGAGTTAAACACACACATCACTACGCAGTGTCTGGGAACGAGTTTGTCTTGTTTTTATACGAAGATATTTCCTTTTCTACCATTGGCATCGAAGCGCTTGAAATCTCCACTTGCAAATTCCACAAAAAGAGTGTTTCAAATCTGCTCTGTCTAAAGGAAGGTTGAACTCTGTGAGTTGCATACACACAACACAAAGAAGTTACTGAGAAATCTTCTGTCTAGCATAATATGAAGAAATCCCGTTTCCAACGAAGGCCTCAAAGAGGTCCGAATATCCACTGGCAGGCTTCACAAACAGAGTGTTTCCTAACTGCTCTGTGAAAAGAAAGGTTAAACTCTGTGAGTTGAACGCACACATCACAAAGGAGTTTCTGAGAATCATTCTGTCTAGTTTTTATACGAAGATATTTCCTTTTCTACCATTGACCTCAAAGCGGCTGAAATCTCCACTTGCAAATTCCAGAAAAACAGTGTTTCAAATCTGCTCTGTGTAAAGGATCGTTTAACTCTGTGAGTTGAATACACACAACACAAGGAAGTTACTGAGAATTCATCTGTCTAGCATAATATGAAGAAATCCCGTTTCCAACGAAGGCCTCAAAGAGGTCTGAATATCCACTTGCAGACTTTACAAACAGAGTGTTTCCTAACTGCTCTTTGAAAAGAAAGGTTAAACTCTGTGAGTTGAACGCACACATCACAAAACAGTTTCTGAGAATCATTCTGTCTAGTTTTTATACGAAGATATTTCCTTTTCTACCGTTGACCTCAAAGCGGCTGAATTCTCCACTTACAAATTCGACCAAAAGAGTGTCTCAAATCTGCTCTGTGTAAAGAATCATTCAACTCTGTGAGTTGAATGCACACAACACAAGGAAGTTACTGGGAATTCCTCTGTCTATCCTTACATGAAAAAACCCGTTTCCAACGAAGGCCTCTAAGAGGCCAAGATATCCACTTGCAGACTTTACAAACAGAGTGTTTCCAAACTGCTGAATGAAAAGAAAAGTTAAACTCTGTGAGTTGAACGCACACATCACAGAGCAGTTTCTGAGAAAGATTCTGTCTAGTTTTTATAGGAAAATATTTCCTTTTCTGCCTTTTGGCCTCAAAGCGCTTGAAATCTCCACTTGCAAATTCCACAAAAAGAGTGTTTCAAATCTGCTCTGTCTAAAGGAAGGTTGAACTCTGTGAGTTGCATACACACAACACAAAGAAGTTACTGAGAAATCTTCTGTCTAGCATAATATGAAGAAATCCCGTTTCCAACGAAGGCCTCAAAGAGGTCCGAATATCCACTGGCAGGCTTCACAAACAGAGTGTTTCCTAACTGCTCTGTGAAAAGAAAGGTTAAACTCTGTGAGTTGAACGCACACATCACAAAGGAGTTTCTGAGAATCATTCTGTCTAGTTTTTATACGAAGATATTTCCTTTTCTACCATTGACCTCAAAGCGGCTGACATCTCCACTTGCAAATTCCAGAAAAACAGTGTTTCAAATCTGCTCTGTGTAAAGGATCGTTCAACTCTGTGAGTTGAATACACACAACACAAGGAAGTTACTGAGAATTCATCTGTCTAGCATAATATGAAGAAATCCCGTTTCCAACGAAGGCCTCAAAGAGGTCTGAATATCCACTTGCAGACTTTACAAACAGAGTGTTTCCTAACTGCTCTTTGAAAAGAAAGGTTAAACTCTGTGAGTTGAAAGCACACATCACAAAACAGTTTCTGAGAATCATTCTGTCTAGTTTTTATACGAAGATATTTCCTTTTCTACCGTTGACCTCAAAGCGGCTGAATTCTCCACTTACAAATTCCACCAAAAGAGTGTCTCAAATCTGCTCTGTGTAAAGAATCATTCAACTCTGTGAGTTGAATGCACACAACACAAGGAAGTTACTGGGAATTCCTCTGTCTAACCTTACATGAAAAAACCCGCTTCCAACGAAGGCCTCTAAGAGGCCAAGATATCCACTTGCAGACTTTACAAACAGAGTGTTTCCAAACTGCTGAATGAAAAGAAAAGTTAAACTCTGTGAGTTGAACGCACACATCACAGAGCAGTTTCTGAGAATGATTCTGTCGGGTTTTTATACGAAGATATTTCCTTTTCTGCCTTTGGCCTCAAAGCGCTTGAAGTCTCCACTTGCAAATTGCAGAAAAAGAGTGTTTCGAATCTGCTCTGTCTAAAGGAAGGTTCAACTCTGTCAGTTGAATACACACAACACAAGGAAGTTACTGAGATTTCTTCTGTCTAGCCTTACATGAAAAAAACCCGTTTCCAACGAAGGCCTCAAAGAGGTCAAAATATCCACGTGCAGACTTTCCAAACAGAGTGTTTCCAAACTGCTGAATGAAAAGAAAAGTTAAACTCTGTGAGTTGAACGCACACATCCCAGAGCAGTTTCTGAGAAAGATTCTGTCTAGTTTTTATAGGAAAATATTTCCTTTTCTGCTTTTGGCCTCAAAGCGCTTGAAATCTCCACTTGCAAATTCCACAAAAAGAGACTTTCAAATCTGCTCTGTCTAAAGGAAGGTTCAACTCTGTCAGTTGAATACACACAACACAAAGAAGTTACTAAGAATTCTTCCCTCTAGCATTATATGAAGAAATCCCGTTTCCAACGAAGGCATCTAAGAGGTCCAAATATCCACTTGCAGACTTTACAAACAGAGGGTTTCCAGAATGCTGTATGAAAAGAAAGGTGAAACTCTGTGAGTTAAACACACACATCACTACGCAGTGTCTGGGAACGAGTTTGTCTTGTTTTTATACGAAGATATTTCCTTTTCTACCATTGGCATCGAAGCGCTTGAAATCTCCACTTGCAAATTCCACAAAAAGAGTGTTTCAAATCTGCTCTGTCTAAAGGAAGGTTGAACTCTGTGAGTTGCATACACACAACACAAAGAAGTTACTGAGAAATCTTCTGTCTAGCATAATATGAAGAAATCCCGTTTCCAACGAAGGCCTCAAAGAGGTCCGAATATCCACTGGCAGGCTTCACAAACAGAGTGTTTCCTAACTGCTCTGTGAAAAGAAAGGTTAAACTCTGTGAGTTGAACGCACACATCACAAAGGAGTTTCTGAGAATCATTCTGTCTAGTTTTTATACGAAGATATTTCCTTTTCTACCATTGACCTCAAAGCGGCTGACATCTCCACTTGCAAATTCCAGAAAAACAGTGTTTCAAATCTGCTCTGTGTAAAGGATCGTTCAACTCTGTGAGTTGAATACACACAACACAAGGAAGTTACTGAGAATTCATCTGTCTAGCATAATATGAAGAAATCCCGTTTCCAACGAAGGCCTCAAAGAGGTCTGAATATCCACTTGCAGACTTTACAAACAGAGTGTTTCCTAACTGCTCTTTGAAAAGAAAGGTTAAACTCTGTGAGTTGAACGCACACATCACAAAACAGTTTCTGAGAATCATTCTGTCTAGTTTTTATACGAAGATATTTCCTTTTCTACCGTTGACCTCAAAGCAGCTGAATTCTCCACTTACAAATTCCACCAAAAGAGTGTCTCAAATCTGCTCTGTGTAAAGAATCATTCAACTCTGTGAGTTGAATGCACACAACACAAGGAAGTTACTGGGAATTCCTCTGTCTATCCTTACATGAAAAAACCCGTTTCCAACGAAGGCCTCTAAGAGGCCAAGATATCCACTTGCAGACTTTACAAACAGAGTGTTTCCAAACTGCTGAATGAAAAGAAAAGTTAAACTCTGTGAGTTGAACGCACACATCACAGAGCAGTTTCTGAGAATGATTCTGTCGGGTTTTTATACGAAGATATTTCCTTTTCTGCCTTTGGCCTCAAAGCGCTTGAAGTCTCCACTTGCAAATTGCAGAAAAAGAGTGTTTCGAATCTGCTCTGTCTAAAGGAAGGTTCAACTCTGTCAGTTGAATACACACAACACAAGGAAGTTACTGAGATTTCTTCTGTCTAGCCTTACATGAAAAAAACCCGTTTCCAACGAAGGCCTCAAAGAGGTCAAAATATCCACGTGCAGACTTTCCAAACAGAGTGTTTCCAAACGCTGAATGAAAAGAAAAGTTAAACTCTGTGAGTTGAACGCACACATCCCAGAGCAGTTTCTGAGAAAGATTCTGTCGAGGTTTTATAGGAAAATATTTCCTTTTCTGCTTTTGGCCTCAAAGCGCTTGAAATCTCCACTTGCAAATTCCACAAAAAGAGACTTTCAAATCTGCTCTGTCTAAAGGAAGGTTCAACTCTGTCAGTTGAATACACACAACACAAAGAAGTTACTAAGAATTCTTCCCTCTAGCATTATATGAAGAAATCCCGTTTCCAACGAAGGCATCTAAGAGGTCCAAATATCCACTTGCAGACTTTACAAACAGAGGGTTTCCAGAATGCTGTATGAAAAGAAAGGTTAAACTCTGTGAGTTAAACACACACATCACTACGCAGTGTCTGGGAACGAGTTTGTCTTGTTTTTATACGAAGATATTTCCTTTTCTACCATTGGCATCGAAACGCTTGAAATCTCCACTTGCAAATTCCACAAAAAGAGTGTTTCAAATATGCTCTCTCTAAAGGAAGGTTGAACTCTGTGAGTTGCATACACACAACCCAAAGAAGTTACTGAGAAATCTTCTGTCTAGCATAATATGAAGAAATCCCGTTTCCAACGAAGGCCTCAAAGAGGTCCGAATATCCACTGGCAGGCTTCACAAACAGAGTGTTTCCTAACTGCTCTGTGAAAAGAAAGGTTAAACTCTGTGAGTTGAACGCACACATCACAAAGGAGTTTCTGAGAATCATTCTGTCTAGTTTTTATACGAAGATATTTCTTTTTCTACCATTGACCTCAAAGCGGCTGAAATCTCCACTTGCAAATTCCAGAAAAACAGTGTTTCAAATCTTCTCTGTGTAAAGGATCGTTCAACTCTGTGAGTTGAATACACACAACACAAGGAAGTTACTGAGAATTCATCTGTCTAGCATAATATGAAGAAATCCCGTTTCCAACGAAGGCCTCAAAGAGGTCTGAATATCCACTTGCAGACTTTACAAACAGAGTGTTTCCTAACTGCTCTTTGAAAAGAAAGGTTAAACTCTGTGAGTTGAACGCACACATCACAAAACAGTTTCTGAGAATCATTCTGTCTAGTTTTTATACGAAGATATTTCCTTTTCTACCGTTGACCTCAAAGCGGCTGAATTCTCCACTAACAAATTCCACCAAAAGAGTGTCTCAAATCTGCTCTGTGTAAAGAATCATTCAACTCTGTGAGTTGAATGCACACAACACAAGGAAGTTACTGGGAATTCCTCTGTCTAACCTTACATGAAAAAACCCGTTTCCAACGAAGGCCTCTAAGAGGCCAAGATATCCACTTGCAGACTTTACAAACAGAGTGTTTCCAAACTGCTGAATGAAAAGAAAAGTTAAACTCTGTGAGTTGAACGCACACATCACAGAGCAGTTTCTGAGAATGATTCTGTCGGGTTTTTATACGAAGATATTTCCTTTTCTGCCTTTGGCCTCAAAGCGCTTGAAGTCTCCACTTGCAAATTGCAGAAAAAGAGTGTTTCGAATCTGCTCTGTCTAAAAGAAGGTTCAACTCTGTCAGTTGAATACACACAACACAAGGAAGTTACTGAGATTTCTTCTGTCTAGCCTTATATGAAAAAAACTCGTTTCCAACGAAGGCCTCAAAGAGGTCAAAATATCCACGTGCAGACTTTCCAAACAGAGTGTTTCCAAACTGCTGAATGAAAAGAAAAGTTAAACTCTGTGAGTTGAACACACACATCCCAGAGCAGTTTCTGAGAAAGATTCTGTCTAGTTTTTATAGGAAAATATTTCCTTTTCTGCTTTTGGCCTCAAAGCGCTTGAAATCTCCACTTGCAAATTCCACAAAAAGAGACTTTCAAATCTGCTCTGTCTAAACGAAGGTTCAACTCTGTCAGTTGAATACACACAACACAAAGAAGTTACTAAGAATTCTTCCCTCTAGCATTATATGAAGAAATCCCGTTTCCAACGAAGGCATCTAAGAGGTCCAAATATCCACTTCCAGACTTTACAAACAGAGGGTTTCCAGAATGCTGTATGAAAAGAAAGGTGAAACTCTGTGAGTTAAACACACACATCACTACGCAGTGTCTGGGAACGAGTTTGTCTTGTTTTTATACGAAGATATTTCCTTTTCTACCATTGGCATCGAAGCGCTTGAAATCTCCACTTGCAAATTCCACAAAAAGAGTGTTTCAAATCTGCTCTGTCTAAAGGAAGGTTGAACTCTGTGAGTTGCATACACACAACACAAAGAAGTTACTGAGAAATCTTCTGTCTAGCATAATATGAAGAAATCCCGTTTCCAACGAAGGCCTCAAAGAGGTCCGAATATCCACTGGCAGGCTTCACAAACAGAGTGTTTCCTAACTGCTCTGTGAAAAGAAAGGTTAAACTCTGTGAGTTGAACGCACACATCACAAAGGAGTTTCTGAGAATCATTCTGTCTAGTTTTTATACGAAGATATTTCCTTTTCTACCATTGACCTCAAAGCGGCTGAAATCTCCACTTGCAAATTCCAGAAAAACAGTGTTTCAAATCTGCTCTGTGTAAAGGATCGTTCAACTCTGTGAGTTGAATACACACAACACAAGGAAGTTACTGAGAATTCATCTGTCTAGCATAATATGAAGAAATCCCGTTTCCAACGAAGGCCTCAAAGAGGTCTGAATATCCACTTGCAGACTTTACAAACAGAGTGTTTCCTAACTGCTCTTTGAAAAGAAAGGTTAAACTCTGTGAGTTGAAAGCACACATCACAAAACAGTTTCTGAGAATCATTCTGTCTAGTTTTTATACGAAGATATTTCCTTTTCTACCGTTGACCTCAAAGCGGCTGAATTCTCCACTTACAAATTCCACCAAAAGAGTGTCTCAAATCTGCTCTGTGTAAAGAATCATTCAACTCTGTGAGTTGAATGCATACAACACAAGGAAGTTACTGGGAATTCCTCTGTCTATCCTTACATGAAAAAACCCGCTTCCAACGAAGGCCTCTAAGAGGCCAAGATATCCACTTGCAGACTTTACAAACAGAGTGTTTCCAAACTGCTGAATGAAAAGAAAAGTTAAACTCTGTGAGTTGAACGCACACATCACAGAGCAGTTTCTGAGAATGATTCTGTCGGGTTTTTATACGAAGATATTTCCTTTTCTGCCTTTGGCCTCAAAGCGCTTGAAGTCTCCACTTGCAAATTGCAGAAAAAGAGTGTTTCGAATCTGCTCTGTCTAAAGGAAGGTTCAACTCTGTCAGTTGAATACACACAACACAAGGAAGTTACTGAGATTTCTTCTGTCTAGCGTTACATGAAAAAAACCCGTTTCCAACGAAGGCCTCAAAGAGGTCAAAATATCCACGTGCAGACTTTCCAAACAGAGTGTTTCCAAACTGCTGAATGAAAAGAAAAGTTAAACTCTGTGAGTTGAACGCACACATCCCAGAGCAGTTTCTGAGAAAGATATTCTGTCGAGTTTTTATAGGAAAATATTTCCTTTTCTGCTTTTGGCCTCAAAGCGCTTGAAATCTCCACTTGCAAATTCCACAAAAAGAGACTTTCAAATCTGCTCTGTCTAAAGGAAGGTTCAACTCTGTCAGTTGAATACACACAACACAAAGAAGTTACTAAGAATTCTTCCCTCTAGCATTATATGAAGAAATCCCGTTTCCAACGAAGGCATCTAAGAGGTCCAAATATCCACTTGCAGACTTTACAAACACAGGGTTTCCAGAATGCTGTATGAAAAGAAAGGTTAAACTCTGTGAGTTAAACACACACATCACTACGCAGTGTCTGGGAACGAGTTTGTCTTGTTTTTATACGAAGATATTTCCTTTTCTACCATTGGCATCGAAGCGCTTGAAATCTCCACTTGCAAATTCCACAAAAAGAGTGTTTCAAATCTGCTCTGTCTAAAGGAAGGTTGAACTCTGTGAGTTGCATACACACAACACAAAGAAGTTACTGAGAAATCTTCTGTCTAGCATAATATGAAGAAATCCCGTTTCCAACGAAGGCCTCAAAGAGGTCCGAATATCCACTGGCAGGCTTCACAAACAGAGTGTTTCCTAACTGCTCTGTGAAAAGAAAGGTTAAACTCTGTGAGTTGAACGCACACATCACAAAGGAGTTTCTGAGAATCATTCTGTCTAGTTTTTATACGAAGATATTTCCTTTTCTACCATTGACCTCAAAGCGGCTGAAATCTCCACTTGCAAATTCCAGAAAAACAGTGTTTCAAATCTGCTCTGTGTAAAGGATCGTTCAACTCTGTGAGTTGAATACACACAACACAAGGAAGTTACTGAGAATTCATCTGTCTAGCATAATATGAAGAAATCCCGTTTCCAACGAAGGCCTCAAAGAGGTCTGAATATCCACTTGCAGACTTTACAAACAGAGTGTTTCCTAACTGCTCTTTGAAAAGAAAGGTTAAACTCTGTGAGTTGAACGCACACATCACAAAACAGTTTCTGAGAATCATTCTGCCTAGTTTTTATACGAAGATATTTCCTTTTCTACCGTTGACCTCAAAGCGGCTGAATTCTCCACTTACAAATTCCACCAAAAGAGTGTCTCAAATCTGCTCTGTGTAAAGAATCATTCAACTCTGTGAGTTGAATGCACACAACACAAGGAAGTTACTGGGAATTCCTCTGTCTAACCTTACATGAAAAAACCCGTTTCCAACGAAGGCCTCTAAGAGGCCAAGATATCCACTTGCAGACTTTACAAACAGAGTGTTTCCAAACTGCTGAATGAAAAGAAAAGTTAAACTCTGTGAGTTGAACGCACACATCACAGAGCACTTTCTGAGAGTGATTCTGTCGGGTTTTTATACGAAGATATTTCCTTTTCTGCCTTTGGCCTCAAAGCGCTTGAAGTTTCCACTTGCAAATTGCAGAAAAAGAGTGTTTCGAATCTGCTCTGTCTAAAGGAAGGTTCAACTCTGTCAGTTGAATACACACAACACAAGGAAGTTACTGAGATTTCTTCTGTCTAGCCTTACATGAAAAAAACCCGTTTCCAACGAAGGCCTCAAAGAGGTCAAAATATCCACGTGCAGACTTTCCAAACAGAGTGTTTCCAAACTGCTGAATGAAAAGAAAAGTTAAACTCTGTGAGTTGAACGCACACATCCCAGAGCAGTTTCTGAGAAAGATTCTGTCGAGTTTTTATAGGAAAATATTTCCTTTTCTGCTTTTGGCCTCAAAGCGCTTGAAATCTCCACTTGCAAATTCCACAGAAAGAGACTTTCAAATCTGCTCTGTCTAAAGGAAGGTTCAACTCTGTCAGTTGAATACACACAACACAAAGAAGTTACTAAGAATTCTTCCCTCTAGCATTATATGAAGAAATCCCGTTTCCAACGAAGGCATCTAAGAGGTCCAAATATCCACTTGCAGACTTTACAAACACAGGGTTTCCAGAATGCTGTATGAAAAGAAAGGTTAATCTCTGTGAGTTAAACACACACATCACTACGCAGTGTCTGGGAACGAGTTTGTCTTGTTTTTATACGAAGATATTTCCTTTTCTACCATTGGCATCGAAGCGCTTGAAATCTCCACTTGCAAATTCCACAAAAAGAGTGTTTCAAATCTGCTCTGTCTAAAGGAAGGTTGAACTCTGTGAGTTGCATACACACAACCCAAAGAAGTTACTGAGAAATCTTCTGTCTAGCATAATATGAAGAAATCCCGTTTCCAACGAAGGCCTCAAAGAGGTCCGATTATCCACTGGCAGGCTTCACAAACAGAGTGTTTCCTAACTGCTCTGTGAAAAGAAAGGTTAAACTCTGTGAGTTGAACGCACACATCACAAAGGAGTTTCTGAGAATCATTCTGTCTAGTTTTTATACGACGATATTTCCTTTTCTACCATTGACCTCAAAGCGGCTGAAATCTCCACTTGCAAATTCCAGAAAAACAGTGTTTCAAATCTGCTCTGTGTAAAGGATCGTTCAACTCTGTGAGTTGAATACACACAACACAAGGAAGTTACTGAGAATTCATCTGTCTAGCATAATATGAAGAAATCCCGTTTCCAACGAAGGCCTCAAAGAGGTCTGAATATCCACTTGCAGACTTTACAAACAGAGTGTTTCCTAACTGCTCTTTGAAAAGAAAGGTTAAACTCTGTGAGTTGAACGCACACATCACAAAACAGTTTCTGAGAATCATTCTGTCTAGTTTTTATACGAAGATATTTCCTTTTCTACCGTTGACCTCAAAGTGGCTGAATTCTCCACTTACAAATTCCACCAAAAGAGTGTCTCAAATCTGCTCTGTGTAAAGAATCATTCAACTCTGTGAGTTAAATGCACACAACACAAGGAAGTTACTGGGAATTCCTCTGTCTATCCTTACATGAAAAAACCCGTTTCCAACGAAGGCCTCTAAGAGGCCAAGATATCCACTTGCAGACTTTACAAACAGAGTGTTTCCAAACTGCTGAATGAAAAGAAAAGTTAAACTCTGTGAGTTGAACGCACACATCACAGAGCAGTTTCTGAGAATGATTCTGTCGGGTTTTTATACGAAGATATTTCCTTTTCTGCCTTTGGCCTCAAAGCGCTTGAAGTCTCCACTTGCAAATTGCAGAAAAAGAGTGTTTCGAATCTGCTCTGTCTAAAGGAAGGTTCAACTCTGTCAGTTGAATACACACAACACAAGGAAGTTACTGAGATTTCTTCTGTCTAGCCTTACATGAAAAAAACCCGTTTCCAACGAAGGCCTCAAAGATGTCAAAATATCCACGTGCAGACTTTCCAAACAGAGTGTTTCCAAACTGCTGAATGAAAAGAAAAGTTAAACTCTGTGAGTTGAACGCACACATCCCAGAGCAGTTTCTGAGAAAGATTCTGTCTAGTTTTTATAGGAAAATATTTCCTTTTCTGCTTTTGGCCTCAAAGTGCTTGAAATCTCCACTTGCAAATTCCACAAAAAGAGACTTTCAAACCTGCTCTGTCTAAAGGAAGGTTCAACTCTGTCAGTTGAATACACACAACACAAAGAAGTTACTGAGAACTCTTCCCTCTACCATTATATGACGAAATCCCATTTCCAACGAAGGCATCTAAGAGGTCCAAATATACACTTGCAGACTTTACAAACAGAGGGTTTCCAGAGTTCTGTATGAAAAGAAAGGTTAAAGTCTGTGAGTTAAACACACACATCACTACGCAGTTTCTGGGAATGATTTTGTCTTGTTTTTATACGAAGATATTTCCTTTTCGACCATTGGCGTCGAAGCGCTTGAAATCTCCACTTGCAAATTCCACAAAAAGAGTGTTTCAAATCTGCTCTGTGTAAAGGAAGGATGAACTCTGTGAGTTGCATACACACAACACAAAGTAGTTACTGAGAAATCTGTCTAGCATAATATGAAGAAATCCCGTTTCCAACGAAGGCCTCAAAGAGGTCCGAATATCCACTGGCAGACTTCACAGAGTGTTTCCTAACTGCTCTGAGAAAAGAAAGGTTAAACTCTGTGAGTTGAACGCACACATCACAAAGGAGTTTCTGAGAATCATTCTGTCTAGTTTTTATACGAAGATATTTCCTTTTCTACCATTGACCTCAAAGCGGCTGAAATCTCCACTTGCAAATTCCAGAAAAAGAGTGTTTCAAATCTGCTCTGTGTAAAGGATCGTTCAACTCTGTGAGTTGAATACACACAACACAAGGAAGTTACTGAGAATTCTTCTGTCTAGCATAATATGAAGAAATCCCGTTTCCAACGAAGGCCTCAAAGAGGTCTGAATATCCACTTGCAGACTTTACAAACAGAGTGTTTCCTAACTGCTCTTTGAAAAGAAAGGTTAAACTCTGTGAGTTGAACACACACATCACAAAACAGTTTCTGAGAATCATTCTGTCTAGTTTTTATACGAAGATATTTCCTTTTCTACCATTGACCTCAAAGCGGCTGAATTCTCCACTTACAAATTCCACCAAAAGAGTGTCTCAAATCTGCTCTGTGTAAAGAATCATTCAACTCTGTGAGTTGAATGCACACAGCACAAGGAAGTTACTGGGAATTCCTCTGTCTAACCTTACATGAAAAAAACCCGTTTCCAACGAAGGCCTCTAAGAGGCCAATATATCCACTTGCAGACTTTACAAACAGAGTGTTTCCAAACTGCTGAATGAAAAGAAAAGTTAAACTCTGTGAGTTGAACGCGCACATCACAGAGCAGTTTCTGAGAATGATTCTGTCGGGTTTTTATACGAAGATATTTCCTTTTCTGCCTTTGGCCTCAAAGCGCTTGAAGTCTCCACTTGCAAATTGCAGAAAAAGAGTGTTTGGAATCTGCTCTGTCTAAAGGAAGGTTCAACCCTGTCAGTTGAATACACACAACACAAGGAAGTTACTGAGATTTCCTCTGTCTAGCCTTACATGAAAAAATCCCGTTTCCAACCAAGGCCTCAAAGAGGTCAAAATATCCACGGCAGACTTTACAAACAGAGTGTTTCCAAACTGCTGAATGAAAAGAAAAGTTAAACTCTGTGAGTTGAACGCACACATCACAGAGCAGTTTCTGAGAATGATTCTGTCGAGTTTTTATAGGAAAATATTTCCTTTTCTGCTTTTGGCCTCAAAGCGCTTGAAATCTCCACTTGCAAATTCCACAAAAAGAGACTTTCAAATCTGCTCTGTCTAAAGGAAGGTTCAACTCTGTCAGTTGAATACACACCACACAAAGAAGTTATTAAGAATTCTTCCCTCTAGCATTATATGAAGAAATCCCGTTTCCAACGAAGGCATCTAAGAGGTCCAAATATCCACTTGCAGACTTTACAAACACAGGGTTTCCAGAATGCTGTATGAAAAGAAAGGTGAAACTCTGTGAGTTAAACACACACATCACTACGCAGTGTCTGGGAACGAGTTTGTCTTGTTTTTATACGAAGATATTTCCTTTTCTACCATTGGCATCGAAGCGCTTGAAATCTCCACTTGCAAATTCCACAAAAAGAGTGTTTCAAATCTGCTCTGTCTAAAGGAAGGTTGAACTCTGTGAGTTGCATACACACAACACAAAGAAGTTACTGAGAAATCTTCTGTCTAGCATAATATGAAGAAATCCCGTTTCCAACGAAGGCCTCAAAGAGGTCCGAATATCCACTGGCAGGCTTCACAAACAGAGTGTTTCCTAACTGCTCTGTGAAAAGAAAGGTTAAACTCTGTGAGTTGAACGCACACATCACAAAGGAGTTTCTGAGAATCATTCTGTCTAGTTTTTATACGAAGATATTTCCTTTTCTACCATTGACCTCAAAGCGGCTGAAATCTCCACTTGCAAATTCCAGAAAAACAGTGTTTCAAATCTGCTCTGTGTAAAGGATCGTTCAACTCTGTGAGTTGAATACACACAACACAAGGAAGTTACTGAGAATTCATCTGTCTAGCATAATATGAAGAAATCCCGTTTCCAACGAAGGCCTCAAAGAGGTCTGAATATCCACTTGCAGACTTTACAAACAGAGTGTTTCCTAACTGCTCTTTGAAAAGAAAGGTTAAACTCTGTGAGTTGAACGCACACATCACAAAACAGTTTCTGAGAATCATTCTGTCTAGTTTTTATACGAAGATATTTCCTTTTCTACCGTTGACCTCAAAGCGGCTGAATTCTCCACTTACAAATTCCACCAAAAGAGTGTCTCAAATGTGCTCTGTGTAAAGAATCATTCAACTCTGTGAGTTGAATGCACACAACACAAGGAAGTTACTGGGAATTCCTCTGTCTATCCTTACATGAAAAAACCCGCTTCCAACGAAGGCCTCTAAGAGGCCAAGATATCCACTTGCAGACTTTACAAACAGAGTGTTTCCAAACTGCTGAATGAAAAGAAAAGTTAAACTCTGTGAGTTGAACGCACACATCACAGAGCAGTTTCTGAGAATGATTCTGTCGGGTTTTTATACGAAGATATTTCCTTTTCTGCCTTTGGCCTCAAAGCGCTTGAAGTCTCCACTTGCAAATTGCAGAAAAAGAGTGTTTCGAATCTGCTCTGTCTAAAGGAAGGTTCAACTCTGTCAGTTGAATACACACAACACAAGGAAGTTACTGAGATTTCTTCTGTCTAGCCTTACATGAAAAAAACCCGTTTCCAACGAAGGCCTCAAAGAGGTCAAAATATCCACGTGCAGACTTTCCAAACAGAGTGTTTCCAAACTGCTGAATGAAAAGAAAAGTTAAACTCTGTGAGTTGAACGCACACATCCCAGAGCAGTTTCTGAGAAAGATTCTGTCGAGTTTTTATAGGAAAATATTTCCTTTTCTGCTTTTGGCCTCAAAGCGCTTGAAATCTCCACTTGCAAATTCCACAAAAAGAGACTTTCAAATCTGCTCTGTCTAAAGGAAGGTTCAACTCTGTCAGTTGAATACACACAACACAAAGAAGTTACTAAGAATTCTCCCTCTAGCATTATATGAAGAAATCCCGTTTCCAACGAAGGCATCTAAGAGGTCCAAATATCCACTTGCAGACTTTACAAACAGAGGGTTTCCAGAATGCTGTATGAAAAGAAAGGTTAAACTCTGTGAGTTAAACACACACATCACTACGCAGTGTCTGGGAACGAGTTTGTCTTGTTTTTATACGAAGATATTTCCTTTTCTACCATTGGCATCGAAGCGCTTGAAATCTCCACTTGCAAATTCCACAAAAAGAGTGTTTCAAATCTGCTCTGTCTAAAGGAAGGTTGAACTCTGTGAGTTGCATACACACAACACAAAGAAGTTACTGAGAAATCTTCTGTCTAGCATAATATGAAGAAATCCCGTTTCCAACGAAGGCCTCAAAGAGGTCCGAATATCCACTGGCAGGCTTCACAAACAGAGTGTTTCCTAACTGCTCTGTGAAAAGAAAGGTTAAACTCTGTGAGTTGAACGCACACATCACAAAGGAGTTTCTGAGAATCATTCTGTCTAGTTTTTATACGAAGATATTTCCTTTTCTACCATTGACCTCAAAGCGGCTGAAATCTCCACTTGCAAATTCCAGAAAAACAGTGTTTCAAATCTGCTCTGTGTAAAGGATCGTTCAACTCTGTGAGTTGAATACACACAACACAAGGAAGTTACTGAGAATTCATCTGTCTAGCATAATATGAAGAAATCCCGTTTCCAACGAAGGCCTCAAAGAGGTCTGAATATCCACTTGCAGACTTTACAAACAGAGTGTTTCCTAACTGCTCTTTGAAAAGAAAGGTTAAACTCTGTGAGTTGAACGCACACATCACAAAACAGTTTCTGAGAATCATTCTGTCTAGTTTTTATGCGAAGATATTTGCTTTTCTACCGTTGACCTCAAAGCGGCTGAATTCTCCACTTACAAATTCCACCAAAAGAGTGTCTCAAATCTGCTCTGTGTAAAGAATCATTCAACTCTGTGAGTTGAATGCACACAACACAAGGAAGTTACTGGGAATTCCTCTGTCTAACCTTACATGAAAAAACCCGTTTCCAACGAAGGCCTCTAAGAGGCCAAGATATCCACTTGCAGACTTTACAAACAGAGTGTTTCCAAACTGCTGAATGAAAAGAAAAGTTAAACTCTGTGAGTTGAACGCACACATCACAGAGCAGTTTCTGAGAATGATTCTGTCGGGTTTTTATACGAAGATATTTCCTTTTCTGCCTTTGGCCTCAAAGCGCTTGAAGTCTCCACTTGCAAATTGCAGAAAAAGAGTGTTTCGAATCTGCTCTGTCTAAAGGAAGGTTCAACTCTGTCAGTTGAATACACACAACACAAGGAAGTTACTGAGATTTCTTCTGTCTAGCCTTACATGAAAAAAACCCGTTTCCAACGAAGGCCTCAAAGAGGTCAAAATATCCACGTGCAGACTTTCCAAACAGAGTGTTTCCAAAGTGCTGAATGGAAAGAAAAGTTAAACTCTGTGAGTTGAACGCACACATCCCAGAGCAGTTTCTGAGAAAGATTCTGTCGAGTTTTTATAGGAAAATATTTCCTTTTCTGCTTTTGGCCTCAAAGCGCTTGAAATCTCCACTTGCAAATTCCACAAAAAGAGACTTTCAAATCTGCTCTGTCTAAAGGAAGGTTCAACTCTGTCAGTTGAATACACACAACACAAAGAAGTTACTAAGAATTCTTCCCTCTAGCATTATATGAAGAAATCCCGTTTCCAACGAAGGCATCTAAGAGGTCCAAATATCCACTTGCAGACTTTACAAACAGAGGGTTTCCAGAATGCTGTATGAAAAGAAAGGTTAAACTCTGTGAGTTAAACACACACATCACTACGCAGTGTCTGGGAACGAGTTTGTCTTGTTTTTATACGAAGATATTTCCTTTTCTACCATTGGCATCGAAGCGCTTGAAATCTCCACTTGCAAATTCCACAAAAAGAGTGTTTCAAATCTGCTCTGTCTAAAGGAAGGTTGAACTCTGTGAGTTGCATACACACAACACAAAGAAGTTACTGAGAAATCTTCTGTCTAGCATAATATGAAGAAATCCCGTTTCCAACGAAGGCCTCAAAGAGGTCCGAATATCCACTGGCAGGCTTCACAAACAGAGTGTTTCCTAACTGCTCTGTGAAAAGAAAGGTTAAACTCTGTGAGTTGAACGCACACATCACAAAGGAGTTTCTGAGAATCATTCTGTCCAGTTTTTATACGAAGATATTTCCTTTTCTACCATTGACCTCAAAGCGGCTGAAATCTCCACTTGCAAATTCCAGAAAAACAGTGTTTCAAATCTGCTCTGTGTAAAGGATCGTTCAACTCTGTGAGTTGAATACACACAACACAAGGAAGTTACTGAGAATTCATCTGTCTAGCATAATATGAAGAAATCCCGTTTCCAACGAAGGCCTCAAAGAGGTCTGAATATCCACTTGCAGACTTTACAAACAGAGTGTTTCCTAACTGCTCTTTGAAAAGAAAGGTTAAACTCTGTGAGTTGAACGCACACATCACAAAACAGTTTCTGAGAATCATTCTGTCTAGTTTTTATACGAAGATATTTCCTTTTCTACCGTTGACCTCAAAGCGGCTGAATTCTCCACTTACAAATTCCACCAAAAGAGTGTCTCAAATCTGCTCTGTGTAAAGAATCATTCAACTCTGTGAGTTGAATGCACACAACACAAGGAAGTTACTGGGAATTCCTCTGTCTAACCTTACATGAAAAAACCCGTTTCCAACGAAGGCCTCTAAGAGGCCAAGATATCCACTTGCAGACTTTACAAACAGAGTGTTTCCAAACTGCTGAATGAAAAGAAAAGTTAAACTCTGTGAGTTGAACGCACACATCACAGAGCAGTTTCTGAGAATGATTCTGTCGGGTTTTTATACGAAGATATTTCCTTTTCTGCCTTTGGCCTCAAAGCGCTTGAAGTCTCCACTTGCAAATTGCAGAAAAAGAGTGTTTCGAATCTGCTCTGTCTAAAGGAAGGTTCAACCCTGTCAGTTGAATACACACAACACAAGGAAGTTACTGAGATTTCTTCTGTCTAGCCTTACATGAAAAAAACTCGTTTCCAACGAAGGCCTCAAAGAGGTCAAAATATCCACGTGCAGACTTTCCAAACAGAGTGTTTCCAAACTGCTGAATGAAAAGAAAGTTAAACTCTCTGAGTTGAACACACACATCACAGAGCAGTTTCTGAGAATGATTCTGTCTAGTTTTTATAGGAAAATATTTCCTTTTCTGCTTTTGGCCTCAAAGCGCTTGAAATCTCCACTTGCAAATTCCACAAAAAGAGACTTTCAAATCTGCTCTGTCTAAAGGAAGGTTCAACTCTGTCAGTTGAATACACACAACACAAAGAAGTTACTAAGAATTCTTCCCTCTAGCATTATATGAAGAAATCCCGTTTCCAACGAAGGCATCTAAGAGGTCCAAATATCCACTTGCAGACTTTACAAACAGAGGGTTTCCAGAATGCTGTATGAAAAGAAAGGTGAAACTCTGTGAGTTAAACACACACATCACTACGCAGTGTCTGGGAACGAGTTTGTCTTGTTTTTATACGAAGATATTTCCTTTTCTACCATTGGCATCGAAGCGCTTGAAATCTCCACTTGCAAATTCCACAAAAAGAGTGTTTCAAATCTGCTCTGTCTAAAGGAAGGTTGAACTCTGTGAGGTGCATACACACAACACAAAGAAGTTACTGAGAAATCTTCTGTCTAGCATAATATGAAGAAATCCCGTTTCCAACGAAGGCCTCAAAGAGGTCCGAATATCCACTGGCAGGCTTCACAAACAGAGTGTTTCCTAACTGCTCTGTGAAAAGAAAGGTTAAACTCTGTGAGTTGAACGCACACATCACAAAGGAGTTTCTGAGAATCATTCTGTCTAGTTTTTATACGAAGATATTTCTTTTTCTACCATTGACCTCAAAGCGGCTGAAATCTCCACTTGCAAATTCCAGAAAAACAGTGTTTCAAATCTGCTCTGTGTAAAGGATCGTTCAACTCTGTGAGTTGAATACACACAACACAAGGAAGTTACTGAGAATTCATCTGTCTAGCATAATATGAAGAAATCCCGTTTCCAACGAAGGCCTCAAAGAGGTCTGAATATCCACTTGCAGACTTTACAAACAGAGTGTTTCCTAACTGCTCTTTGAAAAGAAAGGTTAAACTCTGTGAGTTGAACGCACACATCACAAAACAGTTTCTGAGAATCATTCTGTCTAGTTTTTATACGAAGATATTTCCTTTTCTACCGTTGACCTCAAAGCGGCTGAATTCTCCACTTACAAATTCCACCAAAAGAGTGTCTCAAATCTGCTCTGTGTAAAGAATCATTCAACTCTGTGAGTTGAATGCACACAACACAAGGAAGTTACTGGGAATTCCTCTGTCTATCCTTACATGAAAAAACCCTTTTCCAACGAAGGCCTCTAAGAGGCCAAGATATCCACTTGCAGACTTTACAAACAGAGTGTTTCCAAACTGCTGAATGAAAAGAAAAGTTAAACTCTGTGAGTTGAACGCACACATCACAGAGCAGTTTCTGAGAAAGATTCTGTCTAGTTTTTATAGGAAAATATTTCCTTTTCTGCTTTTGGCCTCAAAGCGCTTGAAATCTCCACTTGCAAATTCCACAAAAAGAGTGTTTCAAATCTGCTCTGTCTAAAGGAAGGTTGAACTCTGTGAGTTGCATACACACAACACAAAGAAGTTACTGAGAAATCTTCTGTCTAGCATAATATGAAGAAATCCCGTTTCCAACGAAGGCCTCAAAGAGGTCCGAATATCCACTGGCAGGCTTCACAAACAGAGTGTTTCCTAACTGCTCTGTGAAAAGAAAGGTTAAACTCTGTGAGTTGAACGCACACATCACAAAGGAGTTTCTGAGAATCATTCTGTCTAGTTTTTATACGAAGATATTTCTTTTTCTACCATTGACCTCAAAGCGGCTGAAATCTCCACTTGCAAATTCCAGAAAAACAGTGTTTCAAATCTGCTCTGTGTAAAGGATCGTTCAACTCTGTGAGTTGAATACACACAACACAAGGAAGTTACTGAGAATTCATCTGTCTAGCATAATATGAAGAAATCCCGTTTCCAACGAAGGCCTCAAAGAGGTCTGAATATCCTCTTGCAGACTTTACAAACAGAGTGTTTCCTAACTGCTCTTTGAAAAGAAAGGTTAAACTCTGTGAGTTGAACGCACACATCACAAAACATTTTCTGAGAATCATTCTGTCTAGTTTTTATACGAAGATATTTCCTTTTCTACCGTTGACCTCAAAGCGGCTAAATTCTCCACTTACAAATTCCACCAAAAGAGTGTCTCAAAACTGCTCTGTGTAAAGAATCATTCAACTCTGTGAGTTGAATGCACACAACACAAGGAAGTTACTGGGAATTACTCTGTCTATCCTTACATGAAAAAACCCGTTTCCAACGAAGGCCTCTAAGGAGGCCAAGATATCCACTTGCAGACTTTACAAACAGAGTGTTTCCAAACTGCTGAATGAAAAGAAAAGTTAAACTCTGTGAGTTGAACGCACACATCACAGAGCAGTTTCTGAGAATGATTCTGTCGGGTTTTTATACGAAGATATTTCCTTTTCTGCCTTTGGCCTCAAAGCGCTTGAAGTCTCCACTTGCAAATTGCAGAAAAAGAGTGTTTCGAATCTGCTCTGTCTAAAGGAAGGTTCAACTCTGTCAGTTGAATACACACAACACAAGGAAGTTACTGAGATTTCTTCTGTCTAGCCTTACATGAAAAAAACCCGTTTCCAACGAAGGCCTCAAAGAGGTCAAAATATCCACGTGCAGACTTTCCAAACAGAGTGTTTCCAAACTGCTGAATGAAAAGAAAAGTTAAACTCTGTGAGTTGAACGCACACATCCCAGAGCAGTTTCTGAGAAAGATTCTGTCGAGTTTTTATAGGAAAATATTTCCTTTTCTGCTTTTGGCCTCAAAGCGCTTGAAATCTCCACTTGCAAATTCCACAAAAAGAGACTTTCAAATCTGCTCTGTCTAAAGGAAGGTTCAACTCTGTCAGTTGAATACACACAACACAAAGAAGTTACTAAGAATTCTTCCCTCTAGCATTATATGAAGAAATCCCGTTTCCAACGAAGGCATCTAAGAGGTCCAAATATCGACTTGCAGACTTTACAAACAGAGGGTTTCCAGAATGCTGTATGAAAAGAAAGGTGAAACTCTGTGAGTTAAACACACACATCACTACGCAGTGTCTGGGAACGAGTTTGTCTTGTTTTTATACGAAGATATTTCCTTTTCTACCATTGGCATCGAAGCGCTTGAAATCTCCACTTGCAAATTCCACAAAAAGAGTGTTTCAAATCTGCTCTTTCTAAAGGAAGGTTGAACTCTGTGAGTTGCATACACACAACACAAAGAAGTTACTGAGAAATCTTCTGTCTAGCATAATATGAAGAAATCCCGTTTCCAACGAAGGCCTGAAAGAGGTCTGAATATCCACTGGCAGGCTTCACAAACAGAGTGTTTCCTAACTGCTCTGTGAAAAGAAAGGTTAAACTCTGTGAGTTGAACGCACACATCACAAAGGAGTTTCTGAGAATCATTCTGTCTAGTTTTTATACGAAGATATTTCCTTTTCTACCATTGACCTCAAAGCGGCTGAAATCTCCACTTGCAAATTCCAGAAAAACAGTGTTTCAAATCTGCTCTGTGTAAAGGATCGTTCAACTCTGTGAGTTGAATACACACAACACAAGGAAGTTACTGAGAATTCATCTGTCTAGCATAATATGAAGAAATCCCGTTTCCAACGAAGGCCTCAAAGAGGTCTGAATATCCACTTGCAGACTTTACAGAGTGTTTCCTAACTGCTCTTTGAAAAGAAAGGTTAAACTCTGTGAGTTGAACGCACACATCACAAAACAGTTTCTGAGAATCATTCTGTCTAGTTTTTATACGAAGATATTTCCTTTTCTACCGTTGACCTCAAAGCGGCTGAATTCTCCACTTACAAATTCCACCAAAAGAGTGTCTCAAATCTGCTCTGTGTAAAGAATCATTCAACTCTGTGAGTTGAATGCACACAACACAAGGAAGTTACTGGGAATTCCTCTGTCTAACCTTACATGAAAAAACCCGTTTCCAACGAAGGCCTCTAAGAGGCCAAGATATCCACTTGCAGACTTTACAAACAGAGTGTTTCCAAACTGCTGAATGAAAAGAAAAGTTAAACTCTGTGAGTTGAACGCACACATCACAGAGCAGTTTCTGAGAATGATTCTGTCGGGTTTTTATACGAAGATATTTCCTTTTCTGCCTTTGGCCTCAAAGCGCTTGAAGTCTCCACTTGCAAATTGCAGAAAAAGAGTGTTTCGAATCTGCTCTGTCTAAAAGAAGGTTCAACTCTGTCAGTTGAATACACACAACACAAGGAAGTTACTGAGATTTCTTCTGTCTAGCCTTACATGAAAAAAACCCGTTTCCAACGAAGGCCTCAAAGAGGTCACAATATCCACGTGCAGACTTTCCAAACAGAGTGTTTCCAAACTGCTGAATGAAAAGAAAAGTTAAACTCTGTGAGTTGAACGCACACATCCCAGAGCAGTTTCTGAGAAAGATTCTGTCTAGTTTTTATAGGAAAATATTTCCTTTTCTGCTTTTGGCCTCAAAGCGCTTGAAATCTCCACTTGCAAATTCCACAAAAAGAGACTTTCAAATCTGCTCTGTCTAAAGGAAGGTTCAACTCTGTCAGTTGAATACACACAACACAAAGAAGTTACTAAGAATTCTTCCCTCTAGCATTATATGAAGAAATCCCGTTTCCAACGAAGGCATCTAAGAGGTCCAAATATTCACTTGCAGACTTTACAAACAGAGGGTTTCCAGAATGCTGTATGAAAAGAAAGGTGAAACTCTGTGAGTTAAACACACACATCACTACGCAGTGTCTGGGAACGAGTTTGTCTTGTTTTTATACGAAGATATTTCCTTTTCTACCATTGGCATCGAAGCGCTTGAAATCTCCACTTGCAAATTCCACAAAAAGAGTGTTTCAAATCTGCTCTGTCTAAAGGAAGGTTGAACTCTGTGAGTTGCATACACACAACACAAAGAAGTTACTGAGAAATCTTCTGTCTAGCATAATATGAAGAAATCCCGTTTCCAACGAAGGCCTCAAAGAGGTCCGAATATCCACTGGCAGGCTTCACAAACAGAGTGTTTCCTAACTGCTCTGTGAAAAGAAAGGTTAAACTCTGTGAGTTGAACGCACACATCACAAAGGAGTTTCTGAGAATCATTCTGTCTAGTTTTTATACGAAGATATTTCCTTTTCTACCATTGACCTCAAAGCGGCTGAAATCTCCACTTGCAAATTCCAGAAAAACAGTGTTTCAAATCTGCTCTGTGTAAAGGATCGTTCAACTCTGTGAGTTGAATACACACAACACAAGGAAGTTACTGAGAATTCATCTGTCTAGCATAATATGAAGAAATCCCGTTTCCAACGAAGGCCTCAAAGAGGTCTGAATATCCACTTGCAGACTTTACAAACAGAGTGTTTCCTAACTGCTCTTTGAAAAGAAAGGTTAAACTCTGTGAGTTGAACGCACACATCACAAAACAGTTTCTGAGAATCATTCTGTCTAGTTTTTATACGAAGATATTTCCTTTTCTACCGTTGACCTCAAAGCGGCTGAATTCTCCACTTACAAATTCCACCAAAAGAGTGTCTCAAATCTGCTCTGTGTAAAGAATCATTCAACTCTGTGAGTTGAATGCACACAACACAAGGAAGTTACTGGGAATTCCTCTGTCTATCCTTACATGAAAAAACCCGTTTCCAACGAAGGCCTCTAAGAGGCCAAGATATCCACTTGCAGACTTTACAAACAGAGTGTTTCCAAACTGCTGAATGAAAAGAAAAGTTAAACTCTGTGAGTTGAACGCACACATCACAGAGCAGTTTCTGAGAGTGATTCTGTCGGGTTTTTATACGAAGATATTTCCTTTTCTGCCTTTGGCCTCAAAGCGCTTGAAGTCTCCACTTGCAAATTGCAGAAAAAGAGTGTTTCGAATCTGCTCTGTCTAAAGGAAGGTTCAACTCTGTCAGTTGAATACACACAACACAAGGAAGTTACTGAGATTTCTTCTGTCTAGCCTTACATGAAAAAAACCCGTTTCCAACGAAGGCCTCAAAGAGGTCAAAATATCCACGTGCAGACTTTCCAAACAGAGTGTTTCCAAACTGCTGAATGAAAAGAAAAGTTAAACTCTGTGAGTTGAACGCACACATCCCAGAGCAGTTTCTGAGAAAGATTCTGTCGAGTTTTTATAGGAAAATATTTCCTTTTCTGCTTTTGGCCTCAAAGCGCTTGAAATCTCCACTTGCAAATTCCACAAAAAGAGACTTTCAAATCTGCTCTGTCTAAAGGAAGGTTCAACTCTGTCAGTTGAATACACACAACACAAAGAAGTTACTAAGAATTCTTCCCTCTAGCATTATATGAAGAAATCCCGTTTCCAACGAAGGCATCTAAGAGGTCCAAATATCCACTTGCAGACTTTACAAACAGAGGGTTTCCAGAATGCTGTATGAAAAGAAAGGTGAAACTCTGTGAGTTAAACACACACATCACTACGCAGTGTCTGGGAACGAGTTTGTCTTGTTTTTATACGAAGATATTTCCTTTTCTACCATTGGCATCGAAGCGCTTGAAATCTCCACTTGCAAATTCCACAAAGAGAGTGTTTCAAATCTGCTCTGTCTAAAGGAAGGTTGAACTCTGTGAGTTGCATACACACAACACAAAGAAGTTACTGAGAAATCTTCTGTCTAGCATAATATGAAGAAATCCCGTTTCCAACGAAGGCCTCAAAGAGGTCCGAATATCCACTGGCAGGCTTCACAAACAGAGTGTTTCCTAACTGCTCTGTGAAAAGAAAGGTTAAACTCTGTGAGTTGAACAGCACACATCACAAAGGAGTTTCTGAGAATCATTCTGTCTAGTTTTTATACGAAGATATTTCCTTTTCTACCATTGACCTCAAAGCAGCTGAAATCTCCACTTGCAAATTCCAGAAAAACAGTGTTTCAAATCTGCTCTGTGTAAAGGATCGTTCAACTCTGTGAGTTGAATACACACAACACAAGGAACTTACTGAGAATTCATCTGTCTAGCATAATATGAAGAAATCCCGTTTCCAACGAAGGCCTCAAAGAGGTCTGAATATCCACTTGCAGACTTTACAAACAGAGTGTTTCCTAACTGCTCTTTGAAAAGAAAGGTTAAACTCTGTGAGTTGAACGCACACATCCAAAACAGTTTCTGAGAATCATTCTGTCTAGTTTTTATACGAAGATATTTCCTTTTCTACCGTTGACCTCAAAGCAGCTGAATTCTCCACTTACAAATTCCACCAAAAGAGTGTCTCAAATCTGCTCTGTGTAAAGAATTATTCAACTCTGTGAGTTGAATGCACACAACACAACGAAGTTACTGGGAATTCCTCTGTCTAACCTTACATGAAAAAACCCATTTCCAACGAAGGCCTCTAAGAGGCCAAGATATCCACTTGCAGACTTTACAAACAGAGTGTTTCCAAACTGCTGAATGAAAAGAAAAGTTAAACTCTGTGAGTTGAACGCACACATCACAGAGCAGTTTCTGAGAATGATTCTGTCGGGTTTTTATACGAAGATATTTCCTTTTCTGCCTTTGGCCTCAAAGCGCTTGAAGTCTCCACTTGCAAATTGCAGAAAAAGAGTGTTTCGAATCTGCTCTGTCTAAAGGAAGGTTCAACTCTGTCAGTTGAATACACACAACACAAGGAAGTTACTGAGATTTCTTCTGTCTAGCCTTACATGAAAAAAACCCGTTTCCAACGAAGGCCTCAAAGAGGTCAAAATATCCACGTGCAGACTTTCCAAACAGAGTGTTTCCAAACTGCTGAATGAAAAGAAAAGTTAAACTCTGTGAGTTGAACGCACACATCCCAGAGCAGTTTCTGAGAAAGATTCTGTCGAGTTTTTATAGGAAAATATTTCCTTTTCTGCTTTTGGCCTCAAAGCGCTTGAAATCTCCACTTGCAAATTCCACAAAAAGAGACTTTCAAATCTGCTCTGTCTAAAGGAAGGTTCAACTCTGTCAGTTGAATACACACAACACAAAGAAGTTACTAAGAATTCTTCCCTCTAGCATTATATGGAGAAATCCCGTTTCCAAAGAAGACATCTAAGAGGTCCAGATATCCACTTGCAGACTTTACAAACAGAGTGTTTCCAGAATGCTGTATGAAAAGAAAGGTTAAACTCAGTGAGTTGAAAGCACACATCACGAAGGAGTTTCTGAGAATCATTTTGTCTTGTTTTTATACGAAGATATTTCCTTTTCTACCACTGGCATCGAAGCGCTTGAAATCTCCACTTGCAAATTCCACAAAAAGAGTGTTTCAAATCTGCTCTGTCTAAAGGAAGGTTGAACTCTGTGAGTTGCATACACACAACACAAAGAAGTTACTGAGAAATCTTCTGTCTAGCATAATATGAAGAAATCCCGTTTCCAACGAAGGCCTCAAAGAGGTCCGAATATCCACTGGCAGGCTTCACAAACAGAGTGTTTCCTAACTGCTCTGTGAAAAGAAAGGTTAAACTCTGTGAGTTGAACGCACACATCACAAAGGAGTTTCTGAGAATCATTCTGTCTAGTTTTTATACGAAGATATTTCCTTTTCTACCATTGACCTCAAAGCGGCTGAAATCTCCACTTGCAAATTCCAGAAAAACAGTGTTTCAAATCTGCTCTGTGTAAAGGATCGTTCAACTCTGTGAGTTGAATACACACAACACAAGGAAGTTACTGAGAATTCATCTGTCTAGCATAATATGAAGAAATCCCGTTTCCAACGAAGGCCTCAAAGAGGTCTGAATATCCACTTGCAGACTTTACAAACAGAGTGTTTCCTAACTGCTCTTTGAAAAGAAAGGTTAAACTCTGTGAGTTGAACGCACACATCACAAAACAGTTTCTGAGAATCATTCTGTCTAGTTTTTATACGAAGATATTTCCTTTTCTACCGTTGACCTCAAAGCGGCTGAATTCTCCACTTACAAATTCCACCAAAAGAGTGTCTCAAAACTGCTCTGTGTAAAGAATCATTCAACTCTGTGAGTTGAATGCACACAACACAAGGAAGTTACTGGGAATTCCTCTGTCTAACCTTACATGAAAAAACCCGTTTCCAACGAAGGCCTCTAAGAGGCCAAGATATCCACTTGCAGACTTTACAAACAGAGTGTTTCCAAACTGCTGAATGAAAAGAAAAGTTAAACTCTGTGAGTTGAACGCACACATCACAGAGCAGTTTCTGAGAATGATTCTGTCGGGTTTTTATACGAAGATATTTCCTTTTCTGCCTTTGGCCTCAAAGCGCTTGAAGTCTCCACTTGCAAATTGCAGAAAAAGAGTGTTTCGAATCTGCTCTGTCTAAAGGAAGGTTCAACTCTGTCAGTTGAATACACACAACACAAGGAAGTTACTGAGATTTCTTCTGTCTAGCGTTACATGAAAAAAACCCGTTTCCAACGAAGGCCTCAAAGAGGTCAAAATATCCACGTGCAGACTTTCCAAACAGAGTGTTTCCAAACTGCTGAATGAAAAGAAAAGTTAAACTCTGTGAGTTGAACGCACACATCCCAGAGCAGTTTCTGAGAAAGATTCTGTCGAGTTTTTATAGGAAAATATTTCCTTTTCTGCTTTTGGCCTCAAAGCGCTTGAAATCTCCACTTGCAAATTCCACAAAAAGAGACTTTCAAATCTGCTCTGTCTAAAGGAAGGTTCAACTCTGTCAGTTGAATACACACAACACAAAGAAGTTACTAAGAATTCTTCCCTCTAGCATTATATGAAGAAATCCCGTTTCCAACGAAGGCATCTAAGAGGTCCAAATATCCACTTGCAGACTTTACAAACAGAGGGTTTCCAGAATGCTGTATGAAAAGAAAGGTGAAACTCTGTGAGTTAAACACACACATCACTACGCAGTGTCTGGGAACGAGTTTGTCTTGTTTTTATACGAAGATATTTCCTTTTCTACCATTGGCATCGAAGCGCTTGAAATCTCCACTTGCAAATTCCACAAAAAGAGTGTTTCAAATCTGCTCTGTCTAAAGGAAGGTTGAACTCTGTGAGTTGCATACACACAACACAAAGAAGTTACTGAGAAATCTTCTGTCTAGCATAATATGAAGAAATCCCGTTTCCAACGAAGGCCTCAAAGAGGTCCGAATATCCACTGGCAGGCTTCACAAACAGAGTGTTTCCTAACTGCTCTGTGAAAAGAAAGGTTAAACTCTGTGAGTTGAACGCACACATCACAAAGGAGTTTCTGAGAATCATTCTGTCTAGTTTTTATACGAAGATATTTCCTTTTCTACCATTGACCTCAAAGCGGCTGAAATCTCCACTTGCAAATTCCAGAAAAACAGTGTTTCAAATCTGCTCTGTGTAAAGGATCGTTCAACTCTGTGAGTTGAATACACACAACACAAGGAAGTTACTGAGAATTCATCTGTCTAGCATAATATGAAGAAATCCCGTTTCCAACGAAGGCCTCAAAGAGGTCTGAATATCCACTTGCAGACTTTACAAACAGAGTGTTTCCTAACTGCTCTTTGAAAAGAAAGGTTAAACTCTGTGAGTTGAACGCACACATCACAAAACAGTTTCTGAGAATCATTCTGTCTAGTTTTTATACGAAGATATTTCCTTTTCTACCGTTGACCTCAAAGCGGCTGAATTCTCCACTTACAAATTCCACCAAAAGAGTGTCTCAAATCTGCTCTGTGTAAAGAATCATTCAACTCTGTGAGTTGAATGCACACAACACAAGGAAGTTACTGGGAATTCCTCTGTCTATCCTTACATGAAAAAACCCGTTTCCAACGAAGGCCTCTAAGAGGCCAAGATATCCACTTGCAGACTTTACAAACAGAGTGTTTCCAAACTGCTGAATGAAAAGAAAAGTTAAACTCTGTGAGTTGAACGCACACATCACAGAGCAGTTTCTGAGAATGATTCTGTCGGGTTTTTATACGAAGATATTTCCTTTTCTGCCTTTGGCCTCAAAGCGCTTGAAGTCTCCACTTGCAAATTGCAGAAAAAGAGTGTTTCGAATCTGCTCTGTCTAAAGGAAGGTTCAACTCTGTCAGTTGAATACACACAACACAAGGAAGTTACTGAGATTTCTTCTGTCTAGCCTTACATGAAAAAAACCCGTTTCCAACGAAGGCCTCAAAGAGGTCAAAATATCCACGTGCAGACTTTCCAAACAGAGTGTTTCCAAACTGCTGAATGGAAAGAAAAGTTAAACTCTGTGAGTTGAACGCACACATCCCAGAGCAGTTTCTGAGAAAGATTCTGTCTAGTTTTTATAGGAAAATATTTCCTTTTCTGCTTTTGGCCTCAAAGCGCTTGAAATCTCCACTTGCAAATTCCACAAAAAGAGACTTTCAAATCTGCTCTGTCTAAAGGAAGGTTCAACTCTGTCAGTTGAATACACACAACACAAAGAAGTTACTAAGAATTCTTCCCTCTAGCATTATATGAAGAAATCCCGTTTCCAACGAAGGCATCTAAGAGGTCCAAGTATCCACTTGCAGACTTTACAAACAGAGGGTTTCCAGAATGCTGTATGAAAAGAAAGGTGAAACTCTGTGAGTTAAACACACACATCACTACGCAGTGTCTGGGAACGAGTTTGTCTTGTTTTTATACGAAGATATTTCCTTTTCTACCATTGGAATCGAAGCGCTTGAAATCTCCACTTGCAAATTCCACAAAAAGAGTGTTTCAAATCTGCTCTGTCTAAAGGAAGGTTGAACTCTGTGAGTTGCATATACACAACACAAAGAAGTTACTGAGAAATCTTTTGTCTAGCATAATATGAAGAAATCCCGTTTCCAACGAAGGCCTCAAAGAGGTCCGAATATCCACTGGCAGGCTTCACAAACAGAGTGTTTCCTAACTGCTCTGTGAAAAGAAAGGTTAAACTCTGTGAGTTGAACGCACACATCACAAAGGAGTTTCTGAGAATCATTCTGTCTAGTTTTTATACGAAGATATTTCCTTTTCTACCATTGACCTCAAAGCGGCTGAAATCTCCACTTGCAAATTCCAGAAAAACAGTGTTTCAAATCTGCTCTGTGTAAAGGATCGTTCAACTCTGTGAGTTGAATACACACAACACAAGGAAGTTACTGAGAATTCATCTGTCTAGCATAATATGAAGAAACCCCGTTTCCAACGAAGGCCTCAAAGAGGTCTGAATATCCACTTGCAGACTTTACAAACAGAGTGTTTCCTAACTGCTCTTTGAAAAGAAAGGTTAAACTCTGTGAGTTGAAAGCACACATCACAAAACAGTTTCTGAGAATCATTCTGTCTAGTTTTTATACGAAGATATTTCCTTTTCTACCGTTGACCTCAAAGCGGCTGAATTCTCCACTTACAAATTCCACCAAAAGAGTGTCTCAAATCTGCTCTGTGTAAAGAATCATTCAACTCTGTGAGTTGAATGCACACAACACAAGGAAGTTACTGGGAATTCCTCTGTCTAACCTTACATGAAAAAACCCGTTTCCAACGAAGGCCTCTAAGAGGCCAAGATATCCACTTGCAGACTTTACAAACAGAGTGTTTCCAAACTGCTGAATGAAAAGAAAAGTTAAACTCTGTGAGTTGAACGCACACATCACAGAGCAGTTTCTGAGAATGATTCTGTCGGGTTTTTATACGAAGATATTTCCTTTTCTGCCTTTGGCCTCAAAGCGCTTGAAGTCTCCACTTGCAAATTGCAGAAAAAGAGTGTTTCGAATCTGCTCTGTCTAAAGGAAGGTTCAACTCTGTCAGTTGAATACACACAACACAAGGAAGTTACTGAGATTTCTTCTGTCTAGCCTTACATGAAAAAAACCCGTTTCCAACGAAGGCCTCAAAGAGGTCAAAATATCCACGTGCAGACTTTCCAAACAGAGTGTTTCCAAACTGCTGAATGAAAAGAAAAGTTAAACTCTGTGAGTTGAACACACACATCACAAAGCAGTTTCTGAGAATGATTCTGTCTAGTTTTTATAGGAAAATATTTCCTTTTCTGCTTTTGGCCTCAAAGCGCTTGAAATCTCCACTTGCAAATTCCACAAAAAGAGACTTTCAAATCTGCTCTGTCTAAAGGAAGGTTCAACTCTGTCAGTTGAATACACACAACACAAAGAAGTTACTAAGAATTCTTCCCTCTAGCATTATATGAAGAAATCCCGTTTCCAACGAAGGCATCTAAGAGGTCCAAATATCCACTTGCAGACTTTACAAACAGAGGGTTTCCAGAATGCTGTATGAAAAGAAAGGTGAAACTCTGTGAGTTAAACACACACATCACTACGCAGTGTCTGGGAACGAGTTTGTCTTGTTTTTATACGAAGATATTTCCTTTTCTACCATTGGCATCGAAGCGCTTGAAATCTCCACTTGCAAATTCCACAAAAAGAGTGTTTCAAATCTGCTCTGTCTAAAGGAAGGTTGAACTCTGTGAGTTGCATACACACAACACAAAGAAGTTACTGAGAAATCTTCTGTCTAGCATAATATGAAGAAATCCCGTTTCCAACGAAGGCCTCAAAGAGGTCCGAATATCCACTGGCAGGCTTCACAAACAGAGTGTTTCCTAACTGCTCTGTGAAAAGAAAGGTTAAACTCTGTGAGTTGAACGCACACATCACAAAGGAGTTTCTGAGAATCATTCTGTCTAGTTTTTATATGAAGATATTTCCTTTTCTACCATTGACCTCAAAGCGGCTGAAATCTCCACTTGCAAATTCCAGAAAAACAGTGTTTCAAATCTGCTCTGTGTAAAGGATCGTTCAACTCTGTGAGTTGAATACACACAACACAAGGAAGTTACTGAGAATTCATCTGTCTAGCATAATATGAAGAAATCCCGTTTCCAACGAAGGCCTCAAAGAGGTCTGAATATCCACTTGCAGACTTTACAAACAGAGTGTTTCCTAACTGCTCTTTGAAAAGAAAGGTTAAACTCTGTGAGTTGAACGCACACATCACAAAACAGTTTCTGAGAATCATTCTGTCTAGTTTTTATACGAAGATATTTCCTTTTCTACCGTTGACCTCAAAGCGGCTGAATTCTCCACTTACAAATTCCACCAAAAGAGTGTCTCAAAACTGCTCTGTGTAAAGAATCATTCAACTCTGTGAGTTGAATGCACACAACACAAGGAAAGTTACTGGGAATTCCTCTGTCCTATCCTTACATGAAAAAACCCGTTTCCAACGAAGGCCTCTAAGAGGCCAAGATATCCACTTGCAGACTTTACAAACAGAGTGTTTCCAAACTGCTGAATGAAAAGAAAAGTTAAACTCTGTGAGTTGAACGCACACATCACAGAGCAGTTTCTGAGAATGATTCTGTCGGGTTTTTATACGAAGATATTTCCTTTTCTGCCTTTGGCCTCAAAGCGCTTGAAGTCTCCACTTGCAAATTGCAGAAAAAGAGTGTTTCGAATCTGCTCTGTCTAAAGGAAGGTTCAACTCTGTCAGTTGAATACACACAACACAAGGAAGTTACTGAGATTTCTTCTGTCTAGCCTTACATGAAAAAAACCCGTTTCCAACGAAGGCCTCAAAGAGGTCAAAATATCCACGTGCAGACTTTCCAAACAGAGTGTTTCCAAACTGCTGAATGAAAAGAAAAGTTAAACTCTGTGAGTTGAACGCACACATCCCAGAGCAGTTTCTGAGAAAGATTCTGTCGAGTTTTTAATAGGAAAATATTTCCTTTTCTGCTTTTGGCCTCAAAGCGCTTGAAATCTCCACTTGCAAATTCCACAAAAAGAGACTTTCAAATCTGCTCTGTCTAAAGGAAGGTTCAACTCTGTCAGTTGAATACACACAACACAAAGAAGTTACTAAGAATTCTTCCCTCTAGCATTATATGAAGAAATCCCGTTTCCAACGAAGGCATCTAAGAGGTCCAAATATCCACTTGCAGACTTTACAAACACAGGGTTTCCAGAATGCTGTATGAAAAGAAAGGTTAAACTCTGTGAGTTAAACACACACATCACTACGCAGTGTCTGGGAACGAGTTTGTCTTGTTTTTCTACGAAGATATTTCCTTTTCTACCATTTGCATCGAAGCGCTTGAAATCTCCACTTGCAAATTCCACAAAAAGAGTGTTTCAAATACGCTCTCTCTAAAGGAAGGTTGAACTCTGTAAGTTGCATACACACAACACAAAGAAGTTACTGAGAAATCTTCTGTCTAGCATAATATGAAGAAATCCCGTTTCCAACGAAGGCCTCAAAGAGGTCCGAATATCCACTGGCAGGCTTCACAAACAGAGTGTTTCCTAACTGCTCTGTGAAAAGAAAGGTTAAACTCTGTGAGTTGAACGCACACATCACAAAGGAGTTTCTGAGAATCATTCTGTCTAGTTTTTATACGAAGATATTTCCTTTTCTACCATTGACCTCAAAGCGGCTGAAATCTCCACTTGCAAATTCCAGAAAAACAGTGTTTCAAATCTGCTCTGTGTAAAGGATCGTTCAACTCTGTGAGTTGAATACACACAACACAAGGAAGTTACTGAGAATTCATCTGTCTAGCATAATATGAAGAAATCCCGTTTCCAACGAAGGCCTCAAAGAGGTCTGAATATCCACTTGCAGACTTTACAAACAGAGTGTTTCCTAACTGCTCTCTGAAAAGAAAGGTTAAACTCTGTGAGTTGAACGCACACATCACAAAACAGTTTCTGAGAATCATTCTGTCTAGTTTTTATACGAAGATATTTCCTTTTCTACCGTTGACCTCAAAGCGGCTGAATTCTCCACTTACAAATTCCACCAAAAGAGTGTCTCAAATCTGCTCTGTGTAAAGAATCATTCAACTCTGTGAGTTGAATGCACACAACACAAGGAAGTTACTGGGAATTCCTCTGTTTATCCTTACATGAAAAAACCCGTTTCCAACGAAGGCCTCTAAGAGGCCAAGATATCCACTTGCAGACTTTACAAACAGAGTGTTTCCAAACTGCTGAATGAAAAGAAAAGTTAAACTCTGTGAGTTGAACGCACACATCACAGAGCAGTTTCTGAGAATGATTCTGTCGGGTTTTTATACGAAGATATTTCCTTTTCTGCCTTTGGCCTCAAAGCGCTTGAAGTCTCCACTTGCAAATTGCAGAAAAAGAGTGTTTCGAATCTGCTCTGTCTAAAGGAAGGTTCAACTCTGTCAGTTGAATACACACAACACAAGGAAGTTACTGAGATTTCTTCTGTCTAGCCTTACATGAAAAAAACCCGTTTCCAACGAAGGCCTCAAAGAGGTCAAAATATCCACGTGCAGACTTTCCAAACAGAGTGTTTCCAAACTGCTGAATGAAAAGAAAAGTTAAACTCTGTGAGTTGAACGCACACATCCCAGAGCAGTTTCTGAGAAAGATTCTGTCGAGTTTTTATAGGAAAATATTTCCTTTTCTGCTTTTGGCCTCAAAGCGCTTGAAATCTCCACTTGCAAATTCCACAGAAAGAGACTTTCAAATCTGCTCTGTCTAAAGGAAGGTTCAACTCTGTCAGTTGAATACACACAACACAAAGAAGTTACTAAGAATTCTTCCCTCTAGCATTATATGAAGAAATCCCGTTTCCAACGAAGGCATCTAAGAGGTCCAAATATCCACTTGCAGACTTTACAAACACAGGGTTTCCAGAATGCTGTATGAAAAGAAAGGTTAAACTCTGTGAGTTAAACACACACATCACTACGCAGTGTCTGGGAACGAGTTTGTCTTGTTTTTATACGAAGATATTTCCTTTTCTACCATTGGCATCGAAGCGCTTGAAATCTCCACTTGCAAATTCCACAAAAAGAGTGTTTCAAATATGCTCTCTCTAAAGGAAGGTTGAACTCTGTGAGTTGCATACACACAACACAAAGAAGTTACTGAGAAATCTTCTGTCTAGCATAATATGAAGAAATCCCGTTTCCAACGAAGGCCTCAAAGAGGTCCGAATATCCACTGGCAGGCTTCACAAACAGAGTGTTTCCTAACTGCTCTGTGAAAAGAAAGGTTAAACTCTGTGAGTTGAACGCACACATCACAAAGGAGTTTCTGAGAATCATTCTGTCTAGTTTTTATACGAAGATATTTCCTTTTCTACCGTTGACCTCAAAGCGGCTGAATTCTCCACTTACAAATTCCACCAAAAGAGTGTCTCAAATCTGCTCTGTGTAAAGAATCATTCAACTCTGTGAGTTGAATGCACACAACACAAGGAAGTTACTGGGAATTCCTCTGTCTATCCTTACATGAAAAAACCCGTTTCCAACGAAGGCCTCTAAGAGGCCAAGATATCCACTTGCAGACTTTACAAACAGAGTGTTTCCAAACTGCTGAATGAAAAGAAAAGTTAAACTCTGTGAGTTGAACGCACACATCACAGAGCAGTTTCTGAGAAAGATTCTGTCTAGTTTTTATAGGAAAATATTTCCTTTTCTGCTTTTGGCCTCAAAGCGCTTGAAATCTCCACTTGCAAATTCCACAAAAAGAGTGTTTCAAATCTGCTCTGTCTAAAGGAAGGTTCAACTCTGTCAGTTGAATACACACAACACAAGGAAGTTACTGAGATTTCTTCTGTCTAGCGTTACATTAAAAAAACCCGTTTCCAACGAAGGCCTCAAAGAGGTCAAAATATCCTCGTGCAGACTTTCCAAACAGAGTGTTTCCAAACTGCTGAATGAAAAGAAAAGTTAAACTCTGTGAGTTGAACGCACACATCCCAGAGCAGTTTCTGAGAAAGACTCTGTCTAGTTTTTATAGGAAAATATTTCCTTTTCTGCTTTTGGCCTCAAAGCGCTTGAAATCTCCACTTGCAAATTCCACAAAAAGAGACTTTCAAATCTGCTCTGTCTAAAGGAAGGTTCAACTCTGTCAGTTGAATACACACAACACAAAGAAGTTACTAAGAATTCTTCCCTCTAGCATTATATGAAGAAATCCCGTTTCCAACGAAGGCATCTAAGAGGTCCAAATATCCACTTGCAGACTTTACAAACAGAGGGTTTCCAGAATGCTGTATGAAAAGAAAGGTGAAACTCTGTGAGTTAAACACACACATCACTACGCAGTGTCTGGGAACGAGTTTGTCTTGTTTTTATACGAAGATATTTCCTTTTCTACCATTGGCATCGAAGCGCTTGAAATCTCCACTTGCAAATTCCACAAAAAGAGTGTTTCAAATCTGCTCTGTCTAAAGGAAGGTTGAACTCTGTGAGTTGCATACACACAACACAAAGAAGTTACTGAGAAATCTTCTGTCTAGCATAATATGAAGAAATCCCGTTTCCAACGAAGGCCTCAAAGAGGTCCGAATATCCACTGGCAGGCTTCACAAACAGAGTGTTTCCTAACTGCTCTGTGAAAAGAAAGGTTAAACTCTGTGAGTTGAACGCACACATCACAAAGGAGTTTCTGAGAATCATTCTGTCTAGTTTTTATACGAAGATATTTCCTTTTCTACCATTGACCTCAAAGCGGCTGAAATCTCCACTTGCAAATTCCAGAAAAACAGTGTTTCAAATCTGCTCTGTGTAAAGGATCGTTCAACTCTGTGAGTTGAATACACACAACACAAGGAAGTTACTGAGAATTCATCTGTCTAGCATAATATGAAGAAATCCCGTTTCCAACGAAGGCCTCAAAGAGGTCTGAATATCCACTTGCAGACTTTACAGAGTGTTTCCTAACTGCTCTCTGAAAAGAAAGGTTAAACTCTGTGAGTTGAACGCACACATCACAAAACAGTTTCTGAGAATCATTCTGTCTAGTTTTTATACGAAGATATTTCCTTTTCTACCGTTGACCTCAAAGCGGCTGAATTCTCCACTTACAAATTCCACCAAAAGAGTGTCTCAAATCTGCTCTGTGTAAAGAATCGTTCAACTCTGTGAGTTGAATGCACACAACACAAGGAAGTTACTGGGAATTCCTCTGTCTATCCTTACATGAAAAAACCCGTTTCCAACGAAGGCCTCTAAGAGGCCAAGATATCCACTTGCAGACTTTACAAACAGAGTGTTTCCAAACTGCTGAATGAAAAGAAAAGTTAAACTCTGTGAGTTGAACGCACACATCACAGAGCAGTTTCTGAGAAAGATTCTGTCTAGTTTTTATAGGAAAATATTTCCTTTTCTGCTTTTGGCCTCAAAGCGCTTGAAATCCCCACTTGCAAATTCCACAAAAAGAGTGTTTCAAATCTGCTCTGTCTAAAGGAAGGTTGAACTCTGTGAGTTGCATACACACAACACAAAGAAGTTACTGAGAAATCTTCTGTCTAGCATAATATGAAGAAATCCCGTTTCCAACGAAGGCCTCAAAGAGGTCCGAATATCCACTGGCAGGCTTCACAAACAGAGTGTTTCCTAACTGCTCTGTGAAAAGAAAGGTTAAACTCTGTGAGTTGAACGCACACATCACAAAGGAGTTTCTGAGAATCATTCTGTCTAGTTTTTATACGAAGATATTTCCTTTTCTACCATTGACCTCAAAGCGGCTGAAATCTCCACTTGCAAATTCCAGAAAAACAGTGTTTCAAATCTGCTCTGTGTAAAGGATCGTTCAACTCTGTGAGTTGAATACACACAACACAAGGAAGTTACTGAGAATTCATCTGTCTAGCATAATATGAAGAAATCCCGTTTCCAACGAAGGCCTCAAAGAGGTCTGAATATCCACTTGCAGACTTTACAAACAGAGTGTTTCCTAACTGCTCTTTGAAAAGAAAGGTTAAACTCTGTGAGTTGAACGCACACATCACAAAACAGTTTCTGAGAATCATTCTGTCTAGTTTTTATACGAAGATATTTCCTTTTCTACCGTTGACCTCAAAGCGGCTGAATTCTCCACTTACAAATTCCACCAAAAGAGTGTCTCAAATCTCCTCTGTGTAAAGAATCATTCAACTCTGTGAGTTGAATGCACACAACACAAGGAAGTTACTGGGAATTCCTCTGTCTAACCTTACATGAAAAAACCCGTTTCCAACGAAGGCCTCTAAGAGGCCAAGATATCCACTTGCAGACTTTACAAACAGAGTGTTTCCAAACTGCTGAATGAAAAGAAAAGTTAAACTCTGTGAGTTGAACGCACACATCACAGAGCAGTTTCTGAGAATGATTCTGTCGGGTTTTTCTACGAAGATATTTCCTTTTCTGCCTTTGGCCTCAAAGCGCTTGAAGTCTCCACTTGCAAATTGCAGAAAAAGAGTGTTTCGAATCTGCTCTGTCTAAAGGAAGGTTCAACTCTGTCAGTTGAATACACACAACACAAGGAAGTTACTGAGATTTCTTCTGTCTAGCCTTACATGAAAAAAACCCGTTTCCAACGAAGGCCTCAAAGAGGTCAAAATATCCACGTGCAGACTTTCCAAGCAGAGTGTTTCCAAACTGCTGAATGAAAAGAAAAGTTAAACTCTGTGAGTTGAACGCACACATCCCAGAGCAGTTTCTGAGAAAGATTCTGTCTAGTTTTTATAGGAAAATATTTCCTTTTCTGCTTTTGGCCTCAAAGCGCTTGAAATCTCCACTTGCAAATTCCACAAAAAGAGACTTTCAAATCTGCTCTGTCTAAAGGAAGGTTCAACTCTGTCAGTTGAATACACACAACACAAAGAAGTTACTAAGAATTCTTCCCTCTAGCATTATATGAAGAAATCCCGTTTCCAACGAAGGCATCTAAAAGGTCCAAATATCCACTTGCAGACTTTACAAACACAGGGTTTCCAGAATGCTGTATGAAAAGAAAGGTTAAACTCTGTGAGTTAAACACACACATCACTACGCAGTGTCTGGGAACGAGTTTGTCTTGTTTTTATACGAAGATATTTCCTTTTCTACCATTTGCATCGAAGCGCTTGAAATCTCCACTTGCAAATTCCACAAAAAGAGTGTTTCAAATATGCTCTCTCTAAAGGAAGGTTGAACTCTGTAAGTTGCATACACACAACACAAAGAAGTTACTGAGAAATCTTCTGTCTAGCATAATATGAAGAAATCCCGTTTCCAACGAAGGCCTCAAAGAGGTCCGATTATCCACTGGCAGGCTTCACAAACAGAGTGTTTCCTAACTGCTCTGTGAAAAGAAAGGTTAAACTCTGTGAGTTGAACGCACACATCACAAAGGAGTTTCTGAGAATCATTCTGTCTAGTTTTTATACGAAGATATTTCCTTTTCTACCATTGACCTCAAAGCGGCTGAAATCTCCACTTGCAAATTCCAGAAAAACAGTGTTTCAAATCTGCTCTGTGTAAAGGATCGTTCAACTCTGTGAGTTGAATACACACAACACAAGGAAGTTACTGAGAATTCATCTGTCTAGCATAATATGAAGAAATCCCGTTTCCAACGAAGGCCTCAAAGAGGTCTGAATATCCACTTGCAGACTTTACAAACAGAGTGTTTCCTAACTGCTCTTTGAAAAGAAAGGTTAAACTCTGTGAGTTGAACGCACACATCACAAAACAGTTTCTGAGAATCATTCTGTCTAGTTTTTATACGAAGATATTTCCTTTTCTACCGTTGACCTCAAAGCGGCTGAATTCTCCACTTACAAATTCCACCAAAAGAGTGTCTCAAATCTGCTCTGTGTAAAGAATCATTCAACTCTGTGAGTTGAATGCACACAACACAAGGAAGTTACTGGGAATTCCTCTGTCTAACCTTACATGAAAAAACCCGTTTCCAACGAAGGCCTCTAAGAGGCCAAGATATCCACTTGCAGACTTTACAAACAGAGTGTTTCCAAACTGCTGAATGAAAAGAAAAGTTAAACTCTGTGAGTTGAACGCACACATCACAGAGCAGTTTCTGAGAATGATTCTGTCGGGTTTTTATACGAAGATATTTCCTTTTCTGCCTTTGGCCTCAAAGCGCTTGAAGTCTCCACTTGCAAATTGCAGAAAAAGAGTGTTTCGAATCTGCTCTGTCTAAAGGAAGGTTCAACTCTGTCAGTTGAATACACACAACACAAGGAAGTTACTGAGATTTCTTCTGTCTAGCCTTACATGAAAAAAACCCGTTTCCAACGAAGGCCTCAAAGAGGTCAAAATATCCACGTGCAGACTTTCCAAACAGAGTGTTTCCAAACTGCTGAATGGAAAGAATAGTTAAACTCTGTGAGTTGAACGCACACATCCCAGAGCAGTTTTCTGAGAAAGATTCTGTCTAGTTTTTATAGGAAAATATTTCCTTTTCTGCTTTTGGCCTCAAAGCGCTTGAAATCTCCACTTGCAAATTCCACAAAAAGAGACTTTCAAATCTGCTCTGTCTAAAGGAAGGTTCAACTCTGTCAGTTGAATACACACAACACAAAGAAGTTACTAAGAATTCTTCCCTCTAGCATTATACGAAGAAATCCCGTTTCCAACGAAGGCATCTAAGAGGTCCAAATATCCACTTGCAGACTTTACAAACAGAGGGTTTCCAGAATGCTGTATGAAAAGAAAGGTTAAACTCTGTGAGTTAAACACACACATCACTACGCAGTGTCTGGGAACGAGTTTGTCTTGTTTTTATACGAAGATATTTCCTTTTCTACCATTGGCATCGAAGCGCTTGAAATCTCCACTTGCAAATTCCACAAAAAGAGTGTTTCAAATCTGCTCTGTCTAAAGGAAGGTTGAACTCTGTGAGTTGCATACACACAACACAAAGAAGTTACTGAGAAATCTTCTGTCTAGCATAATATGAAGAAATCCCGTTTCCAACGAAGGCCTCAAAGAGGTCCGAATATCCACTGGCAGGCTTCACAAACAGAGTGTTTCCTAACTGCTCTGTGAAAAGAAAGGTTAAACTCTGTGAGTTGAACGCACACATCACAAAGGAGTTTCTGAGAATCATTCTGTCTAGTTTTTATACGAAGATATTTCCTTTTCTACCATTGACCTCAAAGCGGCTGAAATCTCCACTTGCAAATTCCAGAAAAACAGTGTTTCAAATCTGCTCTGTGTAAAGGATCGTTCAACTCTGTGAGTTGAATACACACAACACAAGGAAGTTACTGAGAATTCATCTGTCTAGCATAATATGAAGAAATCCCGTTTCCAACGAAGGCCTCAAAGAGGTCTGAATATCCACTTGCAGACTTTACAAACAGAGTGTTTCCTAACTGCTCTTTGAAAAGAAAGGTTAAACTCTGTGAGTTGAACGCACACATCACAAAACAGTTTCTGAGAATCATTCTGTCTAGTTTTTATACGAAGATATTTCCTTTTCTACCGTTGACCTCAAAGCGGCTGAATTCTCCACTTACAAATTCCACCAAAAGAGTGTCTCAAATCTGCTCTGTGTAAAGAATCATTCAACTCTGTGAGTTGAATGCACACAACACAAGGAAGTTACTGGGAATTCCTCTGTCTAACCTTACATGAAAAAACCCGTTTCCAACGAAGGCCTCTAAGAGGCCAAGATATCCACTTGCAGACTTTACAAACAGAGTGTTTCCAAACTGCTGAATGAAAAGAAAAGTTAAACTCTGTGAGTTGAACGCACACATCACAGAGCAGTTTCTGAGAATGATTCTGTCGGGTTTTTATACGAAGATATTTCCTTTTCTGCCTTTGGCCTCAAAGCGCTTGAAGTCTCCACTTGCAAATTGCAGAAAAAGAGTGTTTCGAATCTGCTCTGTCTAAAGGAAGGTTCAACTCTGTCAGTTGAATACACACAACACAAGGGAATTTACTGAGATTTCTTCTGTCTAGCCTTACATGAAAAAAACCCGTTTCCAACGAAGGCCTCAAAGAGGTCAAAATATCCACGTGCAGACTTTCCAAACAGAGTGTTTCCAAACTGCTGAATGAAAAGAAAAGTTAAACTCTGTGAGTTGAACGCACACATCCCAGAGCAGTTTCTGAGAAAGATTCTGTCGAGTTTTTATAGGAAAATATTTCCTTTTCTGCTTTTGGCCTCAAAGCGCTTGAAATCTCCACTTGCAAATTCCACAAAAAGAGACTTTCAAATCTGCTCTGTCTAAAGGAAGGTTCAACTCTGTCAGTTGAATACACACAACACAAAGAAGTTACTAAGAATTCTTCCCTCTAGCATTATATGAAGAAATCCCGTTTCCAACGAAGGCATCTAAGAGGTCCAAATATCCACTTGCAGACTTTACAAACAGAGGGTTTCCAGAATGCTGTATGAAAAGAAAGGTGAAACTCTGTGAGTTAAACACACACATCACTACGCAGTGTCTGGGAACGAGTTTGTCTTGTTTTTATACGAAGATATTTCCTTTTCTACCATTGGCATCGAAGCGCTTGAAATCTCCACTTGCAAATTCCACAAAAAGAGTGTTTCAAATCTGCTCTGTCTAAAGGAAGGTTGAACTCTGTGAGTTGCATACACACAACACAAAGAAGTTACTGAGAAATCTTCTGTCTAGCATAATATGAAGAAATCCCGTTTCCAACGAAGGCCTCAAAGAGGTCCGAATATCCACTGGCAGGCTTCACAAACAGAGTGTTTCCTAACTGCTCTGTGAAAAGAAAGGTTAAACTCTGTGAGTTGAACGCACACATCACAAAGGAGTTTCTGAGAATCATTCTGTCTAGTTTTTATACGAAGATATTTCCTTTTCTACCATTGACCTCAAAGCGGCTGAAATCTCCACTTGCAAATCCCAGAAAAACAGTGTTTCAAATCTGCTCTGTGTAAAGGATCGTTCAACTCTGTGAGTTGAATACACACAACACAAGGAAGTTACTGAGAATTCATCTGTCTAGCATAATATGAAGAAATCCCGTTTCCAACGAAGGCCTCAAAGAGGTCTGAATATCCACTTGCAGACTTTACAAACAGAGTGTTTCCTAACTGCTCTTTGAAAAGAAAGGTTAAACTCTGTGAGTTGAACGCACACATCACAAAACAGTTTCTGAGAATCATTCTGTCTAGTTTTTATACGAAGATATTTCCTTTTCTACCGTTGACCTCAAAGCGGCTGAATTCTCCACTTACAAATTCCACCAAAAGAGTGTCTCAAATCTGCTCTGTGTAAAGAATCATTCAACTCTGTGAGTTGAATGCACACAACACAAGGAAGTTACTGGGAATTCCTCTGTCTAACCTTACATGAAAAAACCCGCTTCCAACGAAGGCCTCTAAGAGGCCAAGATATCCACTTGCAGACTTTACAAACAGAGTGTTTCCAAACTGCTGAATGAAAAGAAAAGTTAAACTCTGTGAGTTGAACGCACACATCACAGAGCAGTTTCTGAGAATGATTCTGTCGGGTTTTTATACGAAGAATATTTCCTTTTCTGCCTTTGGCCTCAAAGCGCTTGAAGTCTCCACTTGCAAATTGCAGAAAAAGAGTGTTTCGAATCTGCTCTGTCTAAAAGAAGGTTCAACTCTGTCAGTTGAATACACACAACACAAGGAAGTTACTGAGATTTCTTCTGTCTAGCCTTACATGAAAAAAACCCGTTTCCAACGAAGGCCTCAAAGAGGTCAAAATATCCACGTGCAGACTTTCCAAACAGAGTGTTTCCAAACTGCTGAATGAAAAGAAAGTTAAACTCTGTGAGTTGAACACACACATCACAGAGCAGTTTCTGAGAATGATTCTGTCTAGTTTTTATAGGAAAATATTTCCTTTTCTGCTTTTGGCCTCAAAGCGCTTGAAATCTCCACTTGCAAATTCCACAAAAAGAGACTTTCAAATCTGCTCTGTCTAAAGGAAGGTTCAACTCTGTCAGTTGAATACACACAACACAAAGAAGTTACTAAGAATTCTTCCCTCTAGCATTATATGAAGAAATCCCGTTTCCAACGAAGGCATCTAAGAGGTCCAAATATCCACTTGCAGACTTTACAAACAGAGGGTTCCCAGAATGCTGTATGAAAAGAAAGGTTAAACTCTGTGAGTTAAACACACACATCACTACGCAGTGTCTGGGAACGAGTTTGTCTTGTTTTTATACGAAGATATTTCCTTTTCTACCATTGGCATCGAAGCGCTTGAAATCTCCACTTGCAAATTCCACAAAAAGAGTGTTTCAAATCTGCTCTGTCTAAAGGAAGGTTGAACTCTGTGAGTTGCATACACACAACACAAAGAAGTTACTGAGAAATCTTCTGTCTAGCAAAATATGAAGAAATCCCGTTTCCAACGAAGGCCTCAAAGAGGTCCGAATATCCACTGGCAGGCTTCACAAACAGAGTGTTTCCTAACTGCTCTGTGAAAAGAAAGGTTAAACTCTGTGAGTTGAACGCACACATCACAAAGGAGTTTCTGAGAATCATTCTGTCTAGTTTTTATACGAAGATATTTCCTTTTCTACCATTGACCTCAAAGCGGCTGAAATCTCCACTTGCAAATTCCAGAAAAACAGTGTTTCAAATCTGCTCTGTGTAAAGGATCGTTCAACTCTGTGAGTTGAATACACACAACACAAGGAAGTTACTGAGAATTCATCTGTCTAGCATAATATGATGAAATCCCGTTTCCAACGAAGGCTTCAAAGAGGTCTGAATATCCACTTGCAGACTTTACAAACAGAGTGTTTCCTAACTGCTCTTTGAAAAGAAAGGTTAAACTCTGTGAGTTGAACGCACACATCACAAAACAGTTTCTGAGAATCATTCTTTCTAGTTTTTATACGAAGATATTTCCTTTTCTACCGTTGACCTCAAAGCGGCTGAATTCTCCACTTACAAATTCCACCAAAAGTGTGTCTCAAATCTGCTCTGTGTAAAGAATCATTCAACTCTGTGAGTTGAATGCACACAACACAAGGAAGTTACTGGGAATTCCTCTGTCTAACCTTACATGAAAAAACGCGTTTCCAACGAAGGCCTCTAAGAGGCCAAGATATCCACTTGCAGACTTTACAAACAGAGTGTTTCCAAACTGCTGAATGAAAAGAAAAGTTAAACTCTGTGAGTTGAACGCACACATCACAGAGCAGTTTCTGAGAATGATTCTGTCGGGTTTTTATACGAAGATATTTCCTTTTCTGCCTTGGCCTCAAAGCGCTTGAAGTCTCCACTTGCAAATTGCAGAAAAAGAGCGTTTCGAATCTGCTCTGTCTAAAGGAAGGTTCAACTCTGTCAGTTGAATACACACAACACAAGGAAGTTACTGAGATTTCTTCTGTCTAGCCTTACATGAAAAAAACCCGTTTCCAACGAAGGCCTCAAAGAGGTCAAAATATCCACGTGCAGACTTTCCAAACAGAGTGTTTCCAAACTGCTGAATGAAAAGAAAGTTAAACTCTGTGAGTTGAACACACACATCCCAGAGCAGTTTCTGAGAAAGATTCTGTCGAGTTTGTATAGGAAAATATTTCCTTTTCTGCTTTTGGCCTCAAAGCGCTTGAAATCTCCACTTGCAAATTCCACAAAAAGAGACTTTCAAATCTGCTCTGTCTAAAGGAAGGTTCAACTCTGTCAGTTGAATACACAAAACACAAAGAAGTTACTAAGAATTCTTCCCTCTAGCATTATATGAAGAAATCCCGTTTCCAACGAAGGCATCTAAGAGGTCCAAATATCCACTTGCAGACTTTACAAACAGAGGGTTTCCAGAATGCTGTATGAAAAGAAAGGTGAAACTCTGTGAGTTAAACACACACATCACTACGCAGTGTCTGGGAACGAGTTTGTCTTGTTTTTATACGAAGATATTTCCTTTTCTACCATTGGCATCGAAGCGCTTGAAATCTCCACTTGCAAATTCCACAAAAAGAGTGTTTCAAATCTGCTCTGTCTAAAGGAAGGTTGAACTCTGTGAGTTGCATACACACAACACAAAGAAGTTACTGAGAAATCTTCTGTCTAGCATAATATGAAGAAATCCCGTTTCCAACGAAGGCCTCAAAGAGGTCCGAATATCCACTGGCAGGCTTCACAAACAGAGTGTTTCCTAACTGCTCTGTGAAAAGAAAGGTTAAACTCTGTGAGTTGAACGCACACATCACAAAGGAGTTTCTGAGAATCATTCTGTCTAGTTTTTATACGAAGATATTTCCTTTTCTACCATTGACCTCAAAGCGGCTGAAATCTCCACTTGCAAATTCCAGAAAAACAGTGTTTCAAATCTGCTCTGTGTAAAGGATCGTTCAACTCTGTGAGTTGAATACACACAACACAAGGAAGTTACTGAGAATTCATCTGTCTAGCATAATATGAAGAAATCCCGTTTCCAACGAAGGCCTCAAAGAGGTCTGAATATCCACTTGCAGACTTTACAAACAGAGTGTTTCCTAACTGCTCTTTGAAAAGAAAGGTTAAACTCTGTGAGTTGAACGCACACATCACAAAACAGTTTCTGAGAATCATTCTGTCTAGTTTTTATACGAAGATATTTCCTTTTCTACCGTTGACCTCAAAGCGGCTGAATTCTCCACTTACAAATTCCACCAAAAGAGTGTCTCAAATCTGCTCTGTGTAAAGAATCATTCAACTCTGTGAGTTGAATGCACACAACACAAGGAAGTTACTGGGAATTCCTCTGTCTAACCTTACATGAAAAAACCCGTTTCCAACGAAGGCCTCTAAGAGGCCAAGATATCCACTTGCAGACTTTACAAACAGAGTGTTTCCAAACTGCTGAATGAAAAGAAAAGTTAAACTCTGTGAGTTGAACGCACACATCACAGAGCAGTTTCTGAGAATGATTCTGTCGGGTTTTTATACGAAGATATTTCCTTTTCTGCCTTTGGCCTCAAAGCGCTTGAAGTCTCCACTTGCAAATTGCAGAAAAAGAGTGTTTCGAATCTGCTCTGTCTAAAAGAAGGTTCAACTCTGTCAGTTGAATACACACAACACAAGGAAAGTTACTGAGATTTCTTCTGTCTAGCCTTACATGAAAAAAACCCGTTTCCAACGAAGGCCTCAAAGAGGTCAAAATATCCACGTGCAGACTTTCCAAACAGAGTGTTTCCAAACTGCTGAATGAAAAGAAAAGTTAAACTCTGTGAGTTGAACGCACACATCCCAGAGCAGTTTCTGAGAAAGATTCTGTCGAGTTTTTATAGGAAAATATTTCCCTTTCTGCTTTTGGCCTCAAAGCGCTTGAAATCTCCACTTGCAAATTCCACAAAAAGAGACTTTCAAATCTGCTCTGTCTAAAGGAAGGTTCAACTCTGTCAGTTGAATACACACAACACAAAGAAGTTACTAAGAATTCTTCCCTCTAGCATTATATGAAGAAATCCCGTTTCCAACGAAGGCATCTAAGAGGTCCAAATATCCACTTGCAGACTTTACAAACACAGGGTTTCCAGAATGCTGTATGAAAAGAAAGGTTAAACTCTGTGAGTTAAACACACACATCACTACGCAGTGTCTGGGAACGAGTTTGTCTTGTTTTTATACGAAGATATTTCCTTTTCTACCATTGGCATCGAAGCGCTTGAAATCTCCACTTGCAAATTCCACAAAAAGAGTGTTTCAAATCTGCTCTGTCTAAAGGAAGGTTGAACTCTGTGAGTTGCATACACACAACACAAAGAAGTTACTGAGAAATCTTCTGTCTAGCATAATATGAAGAAATCCCGTTTCCAACGAAGGCCTCAAAGAGGTCCGAATATCCACTGGCAGGCTTCACAAACAGAGTGTTTCCTAACTGCTCTGTGAAAAGAAAGGTTAAACTCTGTGAGTTGAACGCACACATCACAAAGGAGTTTCTGAGAATCATTCTGTCTAGTTTTTATACGAAGATATTTCCTTTTCTACCATTGACCTCAAAGCGGCTGAAATCTCCACTTGCAAATTCCAGAAAAACAGTGTTTCAAATCTGCTCTGTGTAAAGGATCGTTCAACTCTGTGAGTTGAATACACACAACACAAGGAAGTTACTGAGAATTCATCTGTCTAGCATAATATGAAGAAATCCCGTTTCCAACGAAGGCCTCAAAGAGGTCTGAATATCCTCTTGCAGACTTTACAAACAGAGTGTTTCCTAACTGCTCTTTGAAAAGAAAGGTTAAACTCTGTGAGTTGAACGCACACATCACAAAACCAGTTTCTGAGGAATCATTCTTTCTAGTTTTTATACGAAGATATTTCCTTTTCTACCGTTGACCTCAAAGCGGCTGAATTCTCCACTTACAAATTCCACCAAAAGAGTGTCTCAAATCTGCTCTGTGTAAAGAATCATTCAACTCTGTGAGTTGAATGCATACAACACAAGGAAAGTTACTGGGAATTCCTCTGTCTATCCTTACATGAAAAAACCCGCTTCCAACGAAGGCCTCTAAGAGGCCAAGATATCCACTTGCAGACTTTACAAACAGAGTGTTTCCAAACTGCTGAATGAAAAGAAAAGTTAAACTCTGTGAGTTGAACGCACACATCACAGAGCAGTTTCTGAGAATGATTCTGTCGGGTTTTTATACGAAGATATTTCCTTTTCTGCCTTTGGCCTCAAAGCGCTTGAAGTCTCCACTTGCAAATTGCAGAAAAAGAGTGTTTCGAATCTGCTCTGTCTAAAGGAAGGTTCAACTCTGTCAGTTGAATACACACAACACAAGGAAGTTACTGAGATTTCTTCTGTCTAGCCTTACATGAAAAAAACCCGTTTCCAACGAAGGCCTCAAAGAGGTCAAAATATCCACGTGCAGACTTTCCAAACAGAGTGTTTCCAAACTGCTGAATGAAAAGAAAAGTTAAACTCTGTGAGTTGAACGCACACATCCCAGAGCAGTTTCTGAGAAAGATTCTGTCTAGTTTTTATAGGAAAATATTTCCTTTTCTGCCTTTGGCCTCAAAGCGCTTGAAATCTCCACTTGCAAATTCCACAAAAAGAGTGTTTCAAATCTGCTCTGTCTAAAGGAAGGTTCAACTCTGTCAGTTGAATACACACAACACAAAGAGTTTACTAAGAATTCTTCCCTCTAGCATTATATGGAGAAATCCCGTTTCCAGCGAAGGCATCTAAGAGGTCCAGATATCCACTTACAGACTTTAGAAACAGAGTGTTTCCAGAATGCTGTATGAAAAGAAAGGTTAAACTCTGTGAGTTGAATGCACACATCACAAAGGAGTTTCTGAGAGTCATTCTGTCTAGTTTTTATACGAAGATATTTCCTTTTCTACCATTGACCTCAAGGTGGCTGAAATCTCCACTTGCAAATTCCACAAAAAGAGTGTTTCAGATCTTCTCTGTGTAAAAGATGGTTCAACTCTGTGAGTTGAATACACACAACACAAGGAAGTTACTGAGAATTCTTCTGTCTAGCATAATATGAAGAAATCCCGCTTCCAACGAAGGCCTCAAAGAGGTCCGAATATCCACTGGCAGGCTTCACAAACAGAGTGTTTCCTAACTGCTCTGTGAAAAGAAAGGTTAAACTCTGTGAGTTGAACGCACACATCACAAAGGAGTTTCTGAGAATCATTCTGTCTAGTTTTATACGAAGATATTTCCTTTTCTACCATTGACCTCAAAGCGGCTGAAATCTCCACTTGCAAATTCCAGAAAAACAGTGTTTCAAATCTGCTCTGTGTAAAGGATCGTTCAACTCTGTGAGTTGAATACACACAACACAAGGAAGTTACTGAGAATTCATCTGTCTAGCATAATATGAAGAAATCCCGTTTCCAACGAAGGCCTCAAAGAGGTCTGAATATCCACTTGCAGACTTTACAAACAGAGTGTTTCCTAACTGCTCTTTGAAAAGAAAGGTTAAACTCTGTGAGTTGAAAGCACACATCACAAAACAGTTTCTGAGAATCATTCTGTCTAGTTTTTATACGAAGATATTTCCTTTTCTACCGTTGACCTCAAAGCGGCTGAATTCTCCACTTACAAATTCCACCAAAAGAGTGTCTCAAATCTGCTCTGTGTAAAGAATCATTCAACTCTGTGAGTTGAATGCACACAACACAAGGAAGTTACTGGGAATTCCTCTGTCTAACCTTAAATGAAAAAACCCGTTTCCAACGAAGGCCTCTAAGAGGCCAAGATATCCACTTGCAGACTTTACAAACAGAGTGTTTCCAAACTGCTGAATGAAAAGAAAAGTTAAACTCTGTGAGTTGAACGCACACATCACAGAGCAGTTTCTGAGAATGATTCTGTCGGGTTTTTATACGAAGATATTTCCTTTTCTGCCTTTGGCCTCAAAGCGCTTGAAGTCTCCACTTGCAAATTGCAGAAAAAGAGTGTTTCGAATCTGCTCTGTCTAAAGGAAGGTTCAACTCTGTCAGTTGAATACACACAACACAAGGAAGTTACTGAGATTTCTTCTGTCTAGCCTTACATGAAAAAAACCCGTTTCCAACGAAGGCCTCAAAGAGGTCAAAATATCCACGTGCAGACTTTCCAAACAGTGTTTCCAAACTGCTGAATGAAAAGAAAAGTTAAACTCTGTGAGTTGAACGCACACATCACAGAGCAGTTTCTGAGAATGATTCTGTCTAGTTTTTATAGGAAAATATTTCCTTTTCTGCTTTTGGCCTCAAAGCACTTGAAATCTCCACTTGCAAATTCCACAAAAAAGAGACTTTCAAATCTGCTCTGTCTAAAGGAAGGTTCAACTCTGTCAGTTGAATACACACAACACAAAGAAGTTACTAAGAATTCTTCCCTCTAGCATTATATGAAGAAATCCCGTTTCCAACGAAGGCATCTAAGAGGTCCAAATATCCACTTGCAGACTTTACAAACACAGGGTTTCCAGAATGCTGTATGAAAAGAAAGGTTAAACTCTGTGAGTTAAACACACACATCACTACGCAGTGTCTGGGAACGAGTTTGTCTTGTTTTTATACGAAGATATTTCCTTTTCTACCATTGGCATCGAAGCGCTTGAAATCTCCACTTGCAAATTCCACAAAAAGAGTGTTTCAAATCTGCTCTGTCTAAAGGAAGGTTGAACTCTGTGAGTTGCATACACACAACACAAAGAAGTTACTGAGAAATCTTCTGAATAGCATAATATGAAGAAATCCCGTTTCCAACGAAGGCCTCAAAGAGGTCCGAATATCCACTGGCAGGCTTCACAAACAGAGTGTTTCCTAACTGCTCTGTGAAAAGAAAGGTTAAACTCTGTGAGTTGAACGCACACATCACAAAGGAGTTTCTGAGAATCATTCTGTCTAGTTTTTATACGAAGATATTTCCTTTTCTACCATTGACCTCAAAGCGGCTGAAATCTCCACTTGCAAATTCCAGAAAAACAGTGTTTCAAATCTGCTCTGTGTAAAGGATCGTTCAACTCTGTGAGTTGAATACACACAACACAAGGAAGTTACTGAGAATTCATCTGTCTAGCATAATATGAAGAAATCCCGTTTCCAACGAAGGCCTCAAAGAGGTCTGAATATCCACTTGCAGACTTTACAAACAGAGTGTTTCCTAACTGCTCTTTGAAAAGAAAGGTTAAACTCTGTGAGTTGAACGCACACATCACAAAACAGTTTCTGAGAATCATTCTGTCTAGTTTTTATACGAAGATATTTCCTTTTCTACCGTTGACCTCAAAGCGGCTGAATTCTCCACTTACAAATTCCACCAAAAGAGTGTCTCAAATCTGCTCTGTGTAAAGAATCATTCAACTCTGTGAGTTGAATGCACACAACACAAGGAAGTTACTGGGAATTCCTCTGTCTAACCTTACATGAAAAAACCCATTTCCAACGAAGGCCTCTAAGAGGCCAAGATATCCACTTGCAGACTTTACAAACAGAGTGTTTCCAAACTGCTGAATGAAAAGAAAAGTTAAACTCTGTGAGTTGAACGCACACATCACAGAGCAGTTTCTGAGAATGATTCTGTCGGGTTTTTATACGAAGATATTTCCTTTTCTGCCTTTGGCCTCAAAGCGCTTGAAGTCTCCACTTGCTAATTGCAGAAAAAGAGTGTTTCGAATCTGCTCTGTCTAAAAGAAGGTTCAACTCTGTCAGTTGAATACACACAACACAAGGAAGTTACTGAGATTTCTTCTGTCTAGCCTTACATGAAAAAAACCCGTTTCCAACGAAGGCCTCAAAGAGGTCAAAATATCCACGTGCAGACTTTCCAAACAGAGTGTTTCCAAACTGCTGAATGAAAAGAAAAGTTAAACTCTGTGAGTTGAACGCACACATCCCAGAGCAGTTTCTGAGAAAGATTCTGTCTAGTTTTTATAGGAAAATATTTCCTTTTCTGCTTTTGGCCTCAAAGCGCTTGAAATCTCCACTTGCAAATTCCACAAAAAGAGACTTTCAAATCTGCTCTGTCTAAAGGAAGGTTCAACTCTGTCAGTTGAATACACACAACACAAAGAAGTTACTAAGAATTCTTCCCTCTAGCATTATATGAAGAAATCCCGTTTGCAACGAAGGCATCTAAGAGGTCCAAATATCCACTTGCAGACTTTACAAACAGAGGGTTTCCAGAATGCTGTATGAAAAGAAAGGTGAAACTCTGTGAGTTAAACACACACATCACTACGCAGTGTCTGGGAACGAGTTTGTCTTGTTTTTATACGAAGATATTTCCTTTTCTACCATTGGCATCGAAGCGCTTGAAATCTCCACTTGCAAATTCCACAAAAAGAGTGTTTCAAATCTGCTCTGTCTAAAGGAAGGTTGAACTCTGTGAGTTGCATACACACAACACAAAGAAGTTACTGAGAAATCTTCTGTCTAGCATAATATGAAGAAATCCCGTTTCCAACGAAGGCCTCAAAGAGGTCCGAATATCCACTGGCAGGCTTCACAAACAGAGTGTTTCCTAACTGCTCTGTGAAAAGAAAGGTTAAACCCTGTGAGTTGAACGCACACATCACAAAGGAGTTTCTGAGAATCATTCTGTCTAGTTTTTATACGAAGATATTTCCTTTTCTACCATTGACCTCAAAGCGGCTGACATCTCCACTTGCAAATTCCAGAAAAACAGTGTTTCAAATCTGCTCTGTGTAAAGGATCGTTCAACTCTGTGAGTTGAATACACACAACACAAGGAAGTTACTGAGAATTCATCTGTCTAGCATAATATGAAGAAATCCCGTTTCCAACGAAGGCCTCAAAGAGGTCTGAATATCCACTTGCAGACTTTACAAACAGAGTGTTTCCTAACTGCTCTTTGAAAAGAAAGGTTAAACTCTGTGAGTTGAAAGCACACATCACAAAACAGTTTCTGAGAATCATTCTGTCTAGTTTTTATACGAAGATATTTCCTTTTCTACCGTTGACCTCAAAGCAGCTGAATTCTCCACTTACAAATTCCACCAAAAGAGTGTCTCAAATCTGCTCTGTGTAAAGAATCATTCAACTCTGTGAGTTGAGTGCACACAACACAAGGAAGTTACTGGGAATTCCTCTGTCTAACCTTACATGAAAAAACCCGTTTCCAACGAAGGCCTCTAAGAGGCCAAGATATCCACTTGCAGACTTTACAAACAGAGTGTTTCCAAACTGCTGAATGAAAAGAAAAGTTAAACTCTGTGAGTTGAACGCACACATCACAGAGCAGTTTCTGAGAATGATTCTGTCGGGTTTTTATACGAAGATATTTCCTTTTCTGCCTTTGGCCTCAAAGCGCTTGAAGTCTCCACTTGCAAATTGCAGAAAAAGAGTGTTTCGAATCTGCTCTGTCTAAAGGAAGGTTCAACTCTGTCAGTTGAATACACACAACACAAGGAAGTTACTGAGATTTCTTCTGTCTAGCCTTACATGAAAAAAACCCGTTTCCAACGAAGGCCTCAAAGAGGTCAAAATATCCACGTGCAGACTTTCCAAACAGAGTGTTTCCAAACTGCTGAATGAAAAGAAAAGTTAAACTCTGTGAGTTGAACGCACACATCCCAGAGCAGTTTCTGAGAAAGATTCTGTCTAGTTTTTATAGGAAAATATTTCCTTTTCTGCTTTTGGCCTCAAAGCGCTTGAAATCTCCACTTGCAAATTCCACAGAAAGAGACTTTCAAATCTGCTCTGTCTAAAGGAAGGTTCAACTCTGTCAGTTGAATACACAGAACACAAAGAAGTTACTAAGAATTCTTCCCTCTAGCATTATATGAAGAAATCCCGTTTCCAACGAAGGCATCTAAGAGGTCCAAATATCCACTTGCAGACTTTACAAACACAGGGTTTCCAGAATGCTGTATGAAAAGAAAGGTTAAACTCTGTGAGTTAAACACACACATCACTACGCAGTGTCTGGGAACGAGTTTGTCTTGTTTTTATACGAAGATATTTCCTTTTCTACCATTGGCATCGAAGCGCTTGAAATCTCCACTTGCAAATTCCACAAAAAGAGTGTTTCAAATCTGCTCTGTCTAAAGGAAGGTTGAACTCTGTGAGTTGCATACACACAACACAAAGAAGTTACTGAGAAATCTTCTGTCTAGCATAATACGAAGAAATCCCGTTTCCAACGAAGGCCTCAAAGAGGTCCGAATATCCACTGGCAGGCTTCACAAACAGAGTGTTTCCTAACTGCTCTGTGAAAAGAAAGGTTGAACTCTGTGAGTTGAACGCACACATCACAAAGGAGTTTCTGAGAATCATTCTGTCTAGTTTTTATACGAAGATATTTCCTTTTCTACCATTGACCTCAAAGCGGCTGAAATCTCCACTTGCAAATTCCAGAAAAACAGTGTTTCAAATCTGCTCTGTGTAAAGGATCGTTCAACTCTGTGAGTTGAATACACACAACACAAGGAAGTTACTGAGAATTCATCTGTCTAGCATAATATGAAGAAATCCCGTTTCCAACGAAGGCCTCAAAGAGGTCTGAATATCCTCTTGCAGACTTTACAAACAGAGTGTTTCCTAACTGCTCTCTGAAAAGAAAGGTTAAACTCTGTGAGTTGAACGCACACATCACAAAACAGTTTCTGAGAATCATTCTGTCTAGTTTTTATACGAAGATATTTCCTTTTCTACCGTTGACCTCAAAGCGGCTGAATTCTCCACTTACAAATTCCACCAAAAGAGTGTCTCAAATCTGCTCTGTGTAAAGAATCATTCAACTCTGTGAGTTGAATGCACACAACACAAGGAAGTTACTGGGAATTCCTCTGTCTATCCTTACATGAAAAAACCCGTTTCCAACGAAGGCCTCTAAGAGGCCAAGATATCCACTTGCAGACTTTACAAACAGAGTGTTTCCAAACTGCTGAATGAAAAGAAAAGTTAAACTCTGTGAGTTGAACGCACACATCACAGAGCAGTTTCTGAGAATGATTCTGTCGGGTTTTTATACGAAGATATTTCCTTTTCTGCCTTTGGCCTCAAAGCGCTTGAAGTCTCCACTTGCAAATTGCAGAAAAAGAGTGTTTCCAATCTGCTCTGTCTAAAGGAAGGTTCAACTCTGTCAGTTGAATACACACAACACAAGGAAGTTACTGAGATTTCTTCTGTCTAGCCTTACATGAAAAAAACCCGTTTCCAACGAAGGCCTCAAAGAGGTCAAAATATCCACGTGCAGACTTTCCAAACAGAGTGTTTCCAAACTGCTGAATGAAAAGAAAAGTTAAACTCTGTGAGTTGAACGCACACATCCCAGAGCAGTTTCTGAGAAAGATTCTGTCGAGTTTTTATAGGAAAATACTTCCTTTTCTGCTTTTGGCCTCAAAGCGCTTGAAATCTCCACTTGCAAATTCCACAAAAAGAGACTTTCAAATCTGCTCTGTCTAAAGGAAGGTTCAACTCTGTCAGTTGAATACACACAACACAAAGAAGTTACTAAGAATTCTTCCCTCTAGCATTATATGAAGAAATCCCGTTTCCAACGAAGGCATCTAAGAGGTCCAAATATCCACTTGCAGACTTTACAAACACAGGGTTTCCAGAATGCTGTATGAAAAGAAAGGTTAAACTCTGTGAGTTAAACACACACATCACTACGCAGTGTCTGGGAACGAGTTTGTCTTGTTTTTATACGAAGATATTTCCTTTTCTACCATTGGCATCGATGCGCTTGAAATTTCCACTTGCAAATTCCACAAAAAGAGTGTTTCAGATCTGCTCTGTCTAAAGGAAGGTTGAACTCTGTGAGTTGCATACACACAACACAAAGAAGTTACTGAGAAATCTTCTGTCTAGCATAATATGAAGAAATCCCGTTTCCAACGAAGACCTCAAAGAGGTCCGAATATCCACGGGCAGGCTTCACAAACAGAGTGTTTCCTAACTGCTCTGTGAAAAGAAAGGTTAAATTCTGTGAGTTGAACGCACACATCACAAAGGAGTTTCTGAGAATCATTCTGTCTAGTTTTTATACGAAGATATTTCCTTTTCTACCATTGACCTCAAAGCAGCTGAAATCTCCACTTGCAAATTCCAGAAAAACAGTGTTTCAAATCTGCTCTGTGTAAAGGGTCGTTCAACTCTGTGAGTTGAATACACACAACACAAGGAAGTTACTGAGAATTCATCTGTCTAGCATAATATGAAGAAATCCCGTTTCCAACGAAGGCCTCAAAGAGGTCTGAATATCCACTTGCAGACTTTACAAACAGAGTGTTTCCTAACTGCTCTTTGAAAAGAAAGGTTAAACTCTGTGAGTTGAACGCACACATCACAAAACAGTTTCTGAGAATCATTCTGTCTAGTTTTTATACGAAGATATTTCCTTTTCTACCGTTGACCTCAAAGCGGCTGAATTCTCCACTTACAAATTCCACCAAAAGAGTGTCTCAAATCTGCTCTGTGAAAAGAATCATTCAACTCTGTGAGTTGAATGCACACAACACAAGGAAAGTTACTGGGAATTCCTCTGTCTATCCTTACATGAAAAAACCCGTTTCCAACTGAAGGCCTCTAAGAGGCCAAGATATCCACTTGCAGACTTTACAAACAGAGTGTTTCCAAACTGCTGAATGAAAAGAAAAGTTGAACTCTGTGAGTTGAACGCACACATCACAGAGCAGTTTCTGAGAAAGATTCTGTCTAGTTTTTATAGGAAAATATTTCCTTTTCTGCTTTTGGCCTCAAAGCGCTTGAAATCTCCACTTGCAAATTCCACAAAAAGAGTGTTTCAAATCTGCTCTGTCTAAAGGAAGGTTGAACTCTGTGAGTTGCATACACACAACACAAAGAAGTTACTGAGAAATCTTCTGTCTAGCATAATATGAAGAAATCCCGTTTCCAACGAAGGCCTCAAAGAGGTCCGAATATCCACTGGCAGGCTTCACAAACAGAGTGTTTCCTAACTGCTCTGTGAAAAGAAAGGTTAAACTCTGTGAGTTGAACGCACACATCACAAAGGAGTTTCTGAGAATCATTCTGTCTAGTTTTTATACGAAGATATTTCCTTTTCTACCATTGACCTCAAAGCGGCTGACATCTCCACTTGCAAATTCCAGAAAAACAGTGTTTCAAATCTGCTCTGTGTAAAGGATCGTTCAACTCTGTGAGTTGAATACACACAACACAAGGAAGTTACTGAGAATTCATCTGTCTAGCATAATATGATGAAATCCCGTTTCCAACGAAGGCTTCAAAGAGGTCTGAATATCCACTTGCAGACTTTACAAACAGAGTGTTTCCTAACTGCTCTTTGAAAAGAAAGGTTAAACTCTGTGAGTTGAACGCACACATCACAAAACAGTTTCTGAGAATCATTCTTTCTAGTTTTTATACGAAGATATTTCCTTTTCTACCGTTGACCTCAAAGCGGCTGAATTCTCCACTTACAAATTCCACCAAAAGTGTGTCTCAAATCTGCTACTGTGTAAAGAATCATTCAACTCTGTGAGTTGAATGCACACAACACAAGGAAGTTACTGGGAATTCCTCTGTCCTATCCTTACATGAAAAAACCCGTTTCCAACGAAGGCCTCTAAGAGGCCAAGATATCCACTTGCAGACTTTACAAACAGAGTGTTTCCAAACTGCTGAATGAAAAGAAAAGTTAAACTCTGTGAGTTGAACGCACACATCACAGAGCAGTTTCTGAGAATGATTCTGTCGGGTTTTTATACGAAGATATTCCCTTTTCTGCCTTTGGCCTCAAAGCGCTTGAAGTCTCCACTTGCAAATTGCAGAAAAAGAGTGTTTCGAATCTGCTCTGTCTAAAAGAAGGTTCAACTCTGTCAGTTGAATACACACAACACAAGGAAGTTACTGAGATTTCTTCTGTCTAGCCTTACATGAAAAAAACCTGTTTCCAACGAAGGCCTCAAAGAGGTCAAAATATCCACGTGCAGACTTTCCAAACAGAGTGTTTCCAAACTGCTGAATGAAAAGAAAAGTTAAACTCTGTGAGTTGAACGCACACATCCCAGAGCAGTTTCTGAGAAAGATTCTGTCTAGTTTTTATAGGAAAATATTTCCTTTTCTGCTTTTGGCCTCAAAGCGCTTGAAATCTCCACTTGCAAATTCCACAAAAAGAGACTTTCAAATCTGCTCTGTCTAAAGGAAGGTTCAACTCTGTCAGTTGAATACACACAACACAAAGAAGTTACTAAGAATTCTTCCCTCTAGCATTATATGAAGAAATCCCGTTTCCAACGAAGGCATCTAAGAGGTCCAAATATCCACTTGCAGACTTTACAAACAGAGGGTTTCCAGAATGCTGTATGAAAAGAAAGGTGAAACTCTGTGAGTTAAACACACACATCACTACGCAGTGTCTGGGAACGAGTTTGTCTTGTTTTTATACGAAGATATTTCCTTTTCTACCATTGGCATCGAAGCGCTTGAAATCTCCACTTGCAAATTCCACAAAAAGAGTGTTTCAAATCTGCTCTGTCTAAAGGAAGGTTGAACTCTGTGAGTTGCATACACACAACCCAAAGAAGTTACTGAGAAATCTTCTGTCTAGCATAATATGAAGAAATCCCGTTTCCAACGAAGGCCTCAAAGAGGTCCGAATATCCACTGGCAGGCTTCACAAACAGAGTGTTTCCTAACTGCTCTGTGAAAAGAAAGGTTAAACTCTGTGAGTTGAACGCACACATCACAAAGGAGTTTCTGAGAATCATTCTGTCTAGTTTTTATACGAAGATATTTCCTTTTCTACCATTGACCTCAAAGCGGCTGAAATCTCCACTTGCAAATTCCAGAAAAACAGTGTTTCAAATCTGCTCTGTGTAAAGGATCGTTCAACTCTGTGAGTTGAATACACACAACACAAGGAAGTTACTGAGAATTCATCTGTCTAGCATAATATGAAGAAATCCCGTTTCCAACGAAGGCCTCAAAGAGGTCTGAATATCCACTTGCAGACTTTACAAACAGAGTGTTTCCTAACTGCTCTTTGAAAAGAAAGGTTAAACTCTGTGAGTTGAACTCACACATCACAAAACAGTTTCTGAGAATCATTCTGTCTAGTTTTTATACGAAGATATTTCCTTTTCTACCGTTGACCTCAAAGCGGCTGAATTCTCCACTTACAAATTCCACCAAAAGAGTGTCTCAAATCTGCTCTGTGTAAAGAATCATTCAACTCTGTGAGTTGAATGCACACAACACAAGGAAGTTACTGGGAATTCCTCTGTCTAACCTTACATGAAAAAACCCGTTTCCAACGAAGGCCTCTAAGAGGCCAAGATATCCACTTGCAGACTTTACAAACAGAGTGTTTCCAAACTGCTGAATGAAAAGAAAAGTTAAACTCTGTGAGTTGAACGCACACATCACAGAGCAGTTTCTGAGAATGATTCTGTCGGGTTTTTATACGAAGATATTTCCTTTTCTGCCTTTGGCCTCAAAGCGCTTGAAGTCTCCACTTGCAAATTGCAGAAAAAGAGTGTTTCGAATCTGCTCTGTCTAAAGGAAGGTTCAACTCTGTCAGTTGAATACACACAACACAAGGAAGTTACTGAGATTTCTTCTGTCTAGCCTTACATGAAAAAAACCCGTTTCCAACGAAGGCCTCAAAGAGGTCAAAATATCCACGTGCAGACTTTCCAAACAGAGTGTTTCCAAACTGCTGAATGAAAAGAAAAGTTAAACTCTGTGAGTTGAACGCACACATCCCAGAGCAGTTTCTGAGAAAGATTCTGTCGAGGTTTTATAGGAAAATATTTCCTTTTCTGCTTTTGGCCTCAAAGCGCTTGAAATCTCCACTTGCAAATTCCACAAAAAGAGACTTTCAAATCTGCTCTGTCTAAAGGAAGGTTCAACTCTGTCAGTTGAATACACACAACACAAAGAAGTTACTAAGAATTCTTCCCTCTAGCATTATATGAAGAAATCCCGTTTCCAACGAAGGCATCTAAGAGGTCCAAATATCCACTTGCAGACTTTACAAACAGAGGGTTTCCAGAATGCTGTATGAAAAGAAAGGTGAAACTCTGTGAGTTAAACACACACATCACTACGCAGTGTCTGGGAACGAGTTTGTCTTGTTTTTATACGAAGATATTTCCTTTTCTACCATTGGCATCGAAGCGCTTGAAATCTCCACTTGCAAATTCCACAAAAAGAGTGTTTCAAATCTGCTCTGTCTAAAGGAAGGTTGAACTCTGTGAGTTGCATACACACAACACAAAGAAGTTACTGAGAAATCTTCTGAATAGCATAATATGAAGAAATCCCGTTTCCAACGAAGGCCTCAAAGAGGTCCGAATATCCACTGGCAGGCTTCACAAACAGAGTGTTTCCTAACTGCTCTGTGAAAAGAAAGGTTAAACTCTGTGAGTTGAACGCACACATCACAAAGGAGTTTCTGAGAATCATTCTGTCTAGTTTTTATACGAAGATATTTCCTTTTCTACCATTGACCTCAAAGCGGCTGAAATCTCCACTTGCAAATTCCAGAAAAACAGTGTTTCAAATCTGCTCTGTGTAAAGGATCGTTCAACTCTGTGAGTTGAATACACACAACACAAGGAAGTTACTGAGAATTCATCTGTCTAGCATAATATGAAGAAATCCCGTTTCCAACGAAGGCCTCAAAGAGGTCTGAATATCCACTTGCAGACTTTACAAACAGAGTGTTTCCTAACTGCTCTTTGAAAAGAAAGGTTAAACTCTGTGAGTTGAACGCACACATCACAAAACAGTTTCTGAGAATCATTCTGTCTAGTTTTTATACGAAGATATTTCCTTTTCTACCGTTGACCTCAAAGCGGCTGAATTCTCCACTTACAAATTCCACCAAAAGAGTGTCTCAAATCTGCTCTGTGTAAAGAATCATTCAACTCTGTGAGTTGAATGCACACAACACAAGGAAGTTACTGGGAATTCCTCTGTCTAACCTTACATGAAAAAACCCGTTTCCAACGAAGGCCTCTAAGAGGCCAAGATATCCACTTGCAGACTTTACAAACAGAGTGTTTCCAAACTGCTGAATGAAAAGAAAAGTTAAACTCTGTGAGTTGAACGCACACATCACAGAGCAGTTTCTGAGAATGATTCTGTCGGGTTTTTATACGAAGATATTTCCTTTTCTGCCTTTGGCCTCAAAGCGCTTGAAGTCTCCACTTGCAAATTGCAGAAAAAGAGTGTTTCGAATCTGCTCTGTCTAAAGGAAGGTTCAACTCTGTCAGTTGAATACACACAACACAAGGAAGTTACTGAGATTTCTTCTGTCTAGCCTTACATGAAAAAAACCCGTTTCCAACGAAGGCCTCAAAGAGGTCAAAATATCCACGTGCAGACTTTCCAAACAGAGTGTTTCCAAACTGCTGAATGAAAAGAAAAGTTAAACTCTGTGAGTTGAACGCACACATCCCAGAGCAGTTTCTGAGAAAGATTCTGTCTAGTTTTTATAGGAGAATATTTCCTTTTCTGCTTTTGGCCTCAAAGCGCTTGAAATCTCCACTTGCAAATTCCACAAAAAGAGACTTTCAAATCTGCTCTGTCTAAAGGAAGGTTCAACTCTGTCAGTTGAATATACACAACACAAAGAAGTTACTAAGAATTCTTCCCTCTAGCATTATATGAAGAAATCCCGTTTCCAACGAAGGCATCTAAGACGTCCAAATATCCACTTGCAGACTTTACAAACAGAGGGTTTCCAGAATGCTGTATGAAAAGAAAGGTTAAACTCTGTGAGTTAAACACACACAGCACTACGCAGTTTCTGGGAATGATTTTGTCTTGTTTTTATACGAAGATATTTCCTTTTCTACCATTGGCATCGAAGCGCTTGAAATCTCCACTTGCAAATTCCACAAAAAGAGTGTTTCAAATATGCTCTCTCTAAAGGAAGGTTGAACTCTGTGAGTTGCATACACACAACCCAAAGAAGTTACTGAGAAATCTTCTGTCTAGCATAATATGAAGAAATCCCGTTTCCAACGAAGGCCTCAAAGAGGTCCGATTATCCACTGGCAGGCTTCACAAACAGAGTGTTTCCTAACTGCTCTGTGAAAAGAAAGGTTAAACTCTGTGAGTTGAACGCACACATCACAAAGGAGTTTCTGAGAATCATTCTGTCTAGTTTTTATACGAAGATATTTCCTTTTCTACCATTGACCTCAAAGCGGCTGAAATCTCCACTTGCAAATTCCAGAAAAACAGTGTTTCAAATCTGCTCTGTGTAAAGGATCGTTCAACTCTGTGAGTTGAATACACACAACACAAGGAAGTTACTGAGAATTCATCTGTCTAGCATAATATGAAGAAATCCCGTTTCCAACGAAGGCCTCAAAGAGGTCTGAATATCCACTTGCAGACTTTACAAACAGAGTGTTTCCTAACTGCTCTCTGAAAAGAAAGGTTAAACTCTGTGAGTTGAACGCACACATCACAAAACAGTTTCTGAGAATCATTCTGTCTAGTTTTTATACGAAGATATTTCCTTTTCTACCGTTGACCTCAAAGCGGCTGAATTCTCCACTTACAAATTCCACCAAAAGAGTGTCTCAAATCTGCTCTGTGTAAAGAATCATTCAACTCTGTGAGTTGAATGCACACAACACAAGGAAGTTACTGGGAATTCCTCTGTCTATCCTTACATGAAAAAACCCGTTTCCAACGAAGGCCTCTAAGAGGCCAAGATATCCACTTGCAGACTTTACAAACAGAGTGTTTCCAAACTGCTGAATGAAAAGAAAAGTTAAACTCTGTGAGTTGAACGCACACATCACAGAGCAGTTTCTGAGAATGATTCTGTCGGGTTTTTATACGAAGATATTTCCTTTTCTGCCTTTGGCCTCAAAGTGCTTGAAGTCTCCACTTGCAAATTGCAGAAAAAGAGTGTTTCGAATCTGCTCTGTCTAAAGGAAGGTTCAACTCTGTCAGTTGAATACACACAACACAAGGAAGTTACTGAGATTTCTTCTGTCTAGCCTTACATGAAAAAAACCCGTTTCCAACGAAGGCCTCAAAGAGGTCAAAATATCCACGTGCAGACTTTCCAAACAGTGTTTCCAAACTGCTGAATGAAAAGAAAAGTTAAACTCTGTGAGTTGAACGCACACATCACAGAGCAGTTTCTGAGAATGATTCTGTCTAGTTTTTATAGGAAAATATTTCCTTTTCTGCTTTTGGCCTCAAAGCGCTTGAAATCTCCACTTGCAAATTCCACAAAAAGAGACTTTCAAATCTGCTCTGTCTAAAGGAAGGTTCAACTCTGTCAGTTGAATACACACAACACAAAGAAGTTACTAAGAATTCTTCCCTCTAGCATTATATGAAGAAATCCCGTTTCCAACGAAGGCATCTAAGAGGTCCAAATATCCACTTGCAGACTTTACAAACACAGGGTTTCCAGAATGCTGTATGAAAAGAAAGGTTAAACTCTGTGAGTTAAACACACACATCACTACGCAGTGTCTGGGAACGAGTTTGTCTTGTTTTTATACGAAGATATTTCCTTTTCTACCATTTGCATCGAAGCGCTTGAAATCTCCACTTGCAAATTCCACAAAAAGAGTGTTTCAAATATGCTCTCTCTAAAGGAAGGTTGAACTCTGTAAGTTGCATACACACAACACAAAGAAGTTACTGAGAAATCTTCTGTCTAGCATAATATGAAGAAATCCCGTTTCCAACGAAGGCCTCAAAGAGGTCCGATTATCCACTGGCAGGCTTCACAAACAGAGTGTTTCCTAACTGCTCTGTGAAAAGAAAGGTTAAACTCTGTGAGTTGAACGCACACATCACAAAGGAGTTTCTGAGAATCATTCTGTCTAGTTTTTATACGAAGATATTTCCTTTTCTACCATTGACCTCAAAGCGGCTGAAATCTCCACTTGCAAATTCCAGAAAAACAGTGTTTCAAATCTGCTCTGTGTAAAGGATCGTTCAACTCTGTGAGTTGAATACACACAACACAAGGAAGTTACTGAGAATTCATCTGTCTAGCATAATATGAAGAAATCCCGTTTCCAACGAAGGCCTCAAAGAGGTCTGTATATCCACTTGCAGACTTTACAAACAGAGTGTTTCCTAACTGCTCTTTGAAAAGAAAGGTTAAACTCTGTGAGTTGAACGCACACATCACAAAACAGTTTCTGATAATCATTCTGTCTAGTTTTTATACGAAGATATTTCCTTTTCTACCGTTGACCTCAAAGCGGCTGAATTCTCCACTTACAAATTCCACCAAAAGAGTGTCTCAAATCTGCTCTCTGTAAAGAATCATTCAACTCTGTGAGTTGAATGCACACAACACAAGGAAGTTACTGGGAATTCCTCTGTCTAACCTTACATGAAAAAACCCGTTTCCAACGAAGGCCTCTAAGAGGCCAAGATATCCACTTGCAGACTTTACAAACAGAGTGTTTCCAAACTGCTGAATGAAAAGAAAAGTTAAACTCTGTGAGTTGAACGCACACATCACAGAGCAGTTTCTGAGAGTGATTCTGTCGGGTTTTTATACGAAGATATTTCCTTTTCTGCCTTTGGCCTCAAAGCGCTTGAAGTGTCCACTTGCAAATTGCAGAAAAAGAGTGTTTCGAATCTGCTCTGTCTAAAGGAAGGTTCAACTCTGTCAGTTGAATACACACAACACAAGGAAGTTACTGAGATTTCTTCTGTCTAGCCTTACATGAAAAAAACCCGTTTCCAACGAAGGCCTCAAAGAGGTCAAAATATCCACGTGCAGACTTTCCAAACAGAGTGTTTCCAAACTGCTGAATGAAAAGAAAAGTTAAACTCTGTGAGTTGAACGCACACATCCCAGAGCAGTTTCTGAGAAAGATTCTGTCGAGTTTTTATAGGAAAATATTTCCTTTTCTGCTTTTGGCCTCAAAGCGCTTGAAATCTCCACTTGCAAATTCCACAGAAAGAGACTTTCAAATCTGCTCTGTCTAAAGGAAGGTTCAACTCTGTCAGTTGAATACACACAACACAAAGAAGTTACTAAGAATTCTTCCCTCTAGCATTATATGAAGAAATCCCGTTTCCAACGAAGGCATCTAAGAGGTCCAAATATCCACTTGCAGACTTTACAAACACAGGGTTTCCAGAATGCTGTATGAAAAGAAAGGTTAAACTCTGTGAGTTAAACACACACATCACTACGCAGTGTCTGGGAACGAGTTTGTCTTGTTTTTCTACGAAGATATTTCCTTTTCTACCATTTGCATCGAAGCGCTTGAAATCTCCACTTGCAAATTCCACAAAAAGAGTGTTTCAAATATGCTCTCTCTAAAGGAAGGTTGAACTCTGTAAGTTGCATGCACACAACACAAAGAAGTTACTGAGAAATCTTCTGTCTAGCATAATATGAAGAAATCCCGTTTCCAACGAAGGCCTCAAAGAGGTCCGAATATCCACTGGCAGGCTTCACAAACAGAGTGTTTCCTAACTGCTCTGTGAAAAGAAAGGTTAAACTCTGTGAGTTGAACGCACACATCACAAAGGAGTTTCTGAGAATCATTCTGTCTAGTTTTTATACGAAGATATTTCCTTTTCTACCATTGACCTCAAAGCGGCTGAAATCTCCACTTGCAAATTCCAGAAAAACAGTGTTTCAAATCTGCTCTGTGTAAAGGATCGTTCAACTCTGTGAGTTGAATACACACAACACAAGGAAGTTACTGAGAATTCATCTGTCTAGCATAATATGAAGAAATCCCGTTTCCAACGAAGGCTTCAAAGAGGTCTGAATATCCACTTGCAGACTTTACAAACAGAGTGTTTCCTAACTGCTCTTTGAAAAGAAAGGTTAAACTCTGTGAGTTGAACGCACACATCACAAAACAGTTTCTGAGAATCATTCTGTCTAGTTTTTATACGAAGATATTTCCTTTTCTACCGTTGACCTCAAAGCGGCTGAATTCTCCACTTACAAATTCCACCAAAAGAGTGTCTCAAATCTGCTCTGTGTAAAGAATCATTCAACTCTGTGAGTTGAATGCACACAACACAAGGAAGTTACTGGGAATTCCTCTGTCTAACCTTACATGAAAAAACCCGTTTCCAACGAAGGCCTCTAAGAGGCCAAGATATCCACTTGCAGACTTTACAAACAGAGTGTTTCCAAACTGCTGAATGAAAAGAAAAGTTAAACTCTGTGAGTTGAACGCACACATCACAGAGCAGTTTCTGAGAATGATTCTGTCGGGTTTTTATACGAAGATATTTCCTTTTCTGCCTTTGGCCTCAAAGCGCTTGAAGTCTCCACTTGCAAATTGCAGAAAAAGAGTGTTTCGAATCTGCTCTGTCTAAAGGAAGGTTCAACTCTGTCAGTTGAATACACACAACACAAGGAAGTTACTGAGATTTCTTCTGTCTAGCCTTACATGAAAAAAACCCGTTTCCAACGAAGGCCTCAAAGAGGTCAAAATATCCACGTGCAGACTTTCCAAACAGAGTGTTTCCAAACTGCTGAATGAAAAGAAAAGTTAAACTCTGTGAGTTGAACGCACACATCCCAGAGCAGTTTCTGAGAAAGATTCTGTCGAGTTTTTATAGGAAAATATTTCCTTTTCTGCTTTTGGCCTCAAAGCGCTTGAAATCTCCACTTGCAAATTCCACAAAAAGAGACTTTCAAATCTGCTCTGTCTAAAGGAAGGTTCAACTCTGTCAGTTGAATACACACAACACAAAGAAGTTATTAAGAATTCTTCCCTCTAGCATTATATGAAGAAATCCCGTTTCCAACGAAGGCATCTAAGAGGTCCAAATATCCACTTGCAGACTTTACAAACACAGGGTTTCCAGAATGCTGTATGAAAAGAAAGGTGAAACTCTGTGAGTTAAACACACACATCACTACGCAGTGTCTGGGAACGAGTTTGTCTTGTTTTTATACGAAGATATTTCCTTTTCTACCATTGGCATCGAAGCGCTTGAAATCTCCACTTGCAAATTCCACAAAAAGAGTGTTTCAAATCTGCTCTGTCTAAAGGAAGGTTGAACTCTGTGAGTTGCATACACACAACACAAAGAAGTTACTGAGAAATCTTCTGTCTAGCATAATATGAAGAAATCCCGTTTCCAACGAAGGCCTCAAAGAGGTCCGAATATCCACTGGCAGGCTTCACAAACAGAGTGTTTCCTAACTGCTCTGTGAAAAGAAAGGTTAAACCCTGTGAGTTGAACGCACACATCACAAAGGAGTTTCTGAGAATCATTCTGTCTAGTTTTTATACGAAGATATTTCCTTTTCTACCATTGACCTCAAAGCGGCTGAAATCTCCACTTGCAAATTCCAGGAAAACAGTGTTTCAAATCTGCTCTGTGTAAAGGATCGTTCAACTCTGTGAGTTGAATACACACAACACAAGGAAGTTACTGAGAATTCATCTGTCTAGCATAATATGAAGAAATCCCGTTTCCAACGAAGGCCTCAAAGAGGTCTGAATATCCACTTGCAGACTTTACAAACAGAGTGTTTCCTAACTGCTCTTTGAAAAGAAAGGTTAAACTCTGTGAGTTGAACGCACACATCACAAAACAGTCTCTGAGAATCATTCTGTCTAGTTTTTATACGAAGATATTTCCTTTTCTACCGTTGACCTCAAAGCGGCTGAATTCTCCACTTACAAATTCCACCAAAAGAGTGTCTCAAAACTGCTCTGTGTAAAGAATCATTCAACTCTGTGAGTTGAATGCACACAACACAAGGAAGTTACTGGGAATTCCTCTGTCTAACCTTACATGAAAAAACCCGTTTCCAACGAAGGCCTCTAAGAGGCCAAGATATCCACTTGCAGACTTTACAAACAGAGTGTTTCCAAACTGCTGAATGAAAAGAAAAGTTAAACTCTGTGAGTTGAACGCACACATCACAGAGCAGTTTCTGAGAATGATTCTGTCGGGTTTTTATACGAAGATATTTCCTTTTCTGCCTTTGGCCTCAAAGCGCTTGAAGTCTCCACTTGCAAATTGCAGAAAAAGAGTGTTTCGAATCTGCTCTGTCTAAAGGAAGGTTCAACTCTGTCAGTTGAATACACACAACACAAGGAAGTTACTGAGATTTCTTCTGTCTAGCCTTACATGAAAAACACCCGTTTCCAACGAAGGCCTCAAAGAGGTCAAAATATCCACGTGCAGACTTTCCAAACAGAGTGTTTCCAAACTGCTGAATGGAAAGAAAAGTTAAACTCTGTGAGTTGAACGCACACATCCCAGAGCAGTTTCTGAGAAAGATTCTGTCTAGTTTTTATAGGAAAATATTTCCTTTTCTGCTTTTGGCCTCAAAGCGCTTGAAATCTCCACTTGCAAATTCCACAAAAAGAGACTTTCAAATCTGCTCTGTCTAAAGGAAGGTTCAACTCTGTCAGTTGAATACACACAACACAAAGAAGTTACTAAGAATTCTTCCCTCTAGCATTATATGAAGAAATCCCGTTTCCAACGAAGGCATCTAAGAGGTCCAAATATCCACTTGCAGACTTTACAAACACAGGGTTTCCAGAATGCTGTATGAAAAGAAAGGTTAAACTCTGTGAGTTAAACACACACATCACTACGCAGTGTCTGGGAACGAGTTTGTCTTGTTTTTATACGAAGATATTTCCTTTTCTACCATTGGCATCGAAGCGCTTGAAATCTCCACTTGCAAATTCCACAAAAAGAGTGTTTCAAATCTGCTCTGTCTAAAGGAAGGTTGAACTCTGTGAGTTGCATACACACAACACAAAGAAGTTACTGAGAAATCTTCTGTCTAGCATAATATGAAGAAATCCCGTTTCCAACGAAGGCCTCAAAGAGGTCCGAATATCCACTGGCAGGCTTCACAAACAGAGTGTTTCCTAACTGCTCTGTGAAAAGAAAGGTTAAACTCTGTGAGTTGAACGCACACATCACAAAGGAGTTTCTGAGAATCATTCTGTCTAGTTTTTATACGAAGATATTTCCTTTTCTACCATTGACCTCAAAGCGGCTGAAATCTCCACTTGCAAATTCCAGAAAAACAGTGTTTCAAATCTGCTCTGTGTAAAGGATCGTTCAACTCTGTGAGTTGAATACACACAACACAAGGAAGTTACTGAGAATTCATCTGTCTAGCATAATATGAAGAAATCCCGTTTCCAACGAAGGCCTCAAAGAGGTCTGAATATCCACTTGCAGACTTTACAAACAGAGTGTTTCCTAACTGCTCTTTGAAAAGAAAGGTTAAACTCTGTGAGTTGAAAGCACACATCACAAAACAGTTTCTGAGAATCATTCTTTCTAGTTTTTATACGAAGATATTTCCTTTTCTACCGTTGACCTCAAAGCGGCTGAATTCTCCACTTTCAAATTCCACCAAAAGAGTGTCTCAAATCTGCTCTGTGTAAAGAATCATTCAACTCTGTGAGTTGAATGCATACAACACAAGGAAGTTACTGGGAATTCCTCTGTCTATCCTTACATGAAAAAACCCGCTTCCAACGAAGGCCTCTAAGAGGCCAAGATATCCACTTGCAGACTTTACAAACAGAGTGTTTCCAAACTGCTGAATGAAAAGAAAAGTTAAACTCTGTGAGTTGAACGCACACATCACAGAGCAGTTTCTGAGAATGATTCTGTCGGGTTTTTATACGAAGATATTTCCTTTTCTGCCTTTGGCCTCAAAGCGCTTGAAGTCTCCACTTGCAAATTGCAGAAAAAGAGTGTTTCGAATCTGCTCTGTCTAAAGGAAGGTTCAACTCTGTCAGTTGAATACACACAACACAAGGAAGTTACTGAGATTTCTTCTGTCTAGCCTTACATGAAAAAAACCCGTTTCCAACGAAGGCCTGAAAGAGGTCAAAATATCCACGTGCAGACTTTCCAAACAGAGTGTTTCCAAACTGCTGAATGAAAAGAAAAGTTAAACTCTGTGAGTTGAACGCACACATCCCAGAGCAGTTTCTGAGAAAGATTCTGTCTAGTTTTTATAGGAAAATATTTCCTTTTCTGTTTTGGCCTCAAAGCGCTTGAAATCTCCACTTGCAAATTCCACAAAAAGAGACTTTCAAATCTGCTCTTTCTAAAGGAAGGTTCAACTCTGTCAGTTGAATACACACAACACAAAGAAGTTACTAAGAATTCTTCCCTCTAGCATTATATGAAGAAATCCCGTTTCCAACGAAGGCATCAAAGAGGTCCAAATATGCACTTGTAGACTTTACAAACAGAGTGTTTCCAGAATGCTGTATGAAAAGAAAGGTTAAACTCTGTGAGTTAAACACACACATCACTACGCAGTTTCTGGGAATGATTTTGTCTTGTTTTTATAGGAAGATATTTCCTTTTCTACCATTGACCTCAAAGCGGCTGAATTCTCCACTTACAGATTCCACCAAAAGAGTGTCTCAAATCTGCTCTGTGTAAAGAATCATTCAACTCTGTGAGTTGAATGCACACAACACAAGGAAGTTACTGGGAATTCCTCTGTCTAGCCTTACATGAAAAAACCCTTTTCCAACGAAGGCCTCAAAGAGGTCAATATATCCACTTGTAGACTTTACAAACAGAGTGTTTGCAAAGTGCTGAATGAAAAGAAAAGTTAAACTCTGTGAGTTGAACGCACACATCACAGAGCAGTTTCTGAGAATGATTCTGTCGGGTTTTTATACGAAGATATTTCCTTTTCTGCCTTTGGCCTCAAAGCGCTTGAAGTTTCCACTTGCAAATTGCACAAAAAGAGTGTTTCGAATCTGCTCTGTCTAAAGGAAGGTTCAACTCTCTCAGTTCAATACCCACAACACAAGGAAGTTACTGAGATTTCTTCTTCTAGCCTTACATGAAAAAAACCCGTTTTCAACGAAGGCCTCAAAGAGGTCAAAATATCCAGTTGCAGACTTTACAAACAGAGTGTTTCCAAACTGCTGAATGAAAAGTTAAACTCTGTGAGTTGAACGCACACATCACAGAGCAGTTTTGAGAATGATTCTGTCTAGTTTTTATACGAAGATATTTCCTTTTCTACCGTTGACCTCAAAGCGGCTGAATTCTCCACTTACAAATTCCACCAAAAGAGTGTCTCAAAACTGCTCTGTGTAAAGAATCATTCAACTCTGTGAGTTGAATGCACACAACACAAGGAAAGTTACTGGGAATTCCTCTGTCTAACCTTACATGAAAAAACCCGTTTCCAACGAAGGCCTCTAAGAGGCCAAGATATCCACTTGCAGACTTTACAAACAGAGTGTTTCCAAACTGCTGAATGAAAAGAAAAGTTAAACTCTGTGAGTTGAACGCACACATCACAGAGCAGTTTCTGAGAATGATTCTGTCGGGTTTTTATACGAAGATATTTCCTTTTCTGCCTTTGGCCTCAAAGCGCTTGAAGTCTCCACTTGCAAATTGCAGAAAAAGAGTGTTTCGAATCTGCTCTGTCTAAAGGAAGGTTCAACTCTGTCAGTTGAATACACACAACACAAGGAAGTTACTGAGATTTCTTCTGTATAGCCTTACATGAAAAAAACCCGTTTCCAAGGAAGGCCTCAAAGAGGTCATAATATCCACTTGCAGACTTTACAAACAGAGTGTTTCCAAACTGCTGAATGAAACGTTAAACTCTGTGAGTTGATCGCACACGTCACAGAGCAGTTTTGAGAATGATTCTGTCTAGTTTTTATAGGAAAATATGTCCTTTTCTGCTTTTGGCCTCAAAGCGCTTGAAATCTCCACTTGCAAATTCCACAAAAAGAGACTTTCAAATCTGCTCTGTCTAAAGGAAGGTTCAACTCTGTCAGTTGAATACACACAACACAAAGAAGTTACTAAGAATTCTTCCCTCTAGCATTATATGAAGAAATCCCGTTTCCAACGAAGGCATCTAAGAGGTCCAAATATCCACTTGCAGACTTTACAAACAGAGGGTTTCCAGAATGCTGTATGAAAAGAAAGGTGAAACTCTGTGAGTTAAACACACACATCACTACGCAGTGTACTGGGAACGAGTTTTGTCTTGTTTTTATACGAAGATATTTCCTTTTCTACCATTGGCATCGAAGCGCTTGAAATCTCCACTTGCAAATTCCACAAAAAGAGTGTTTCAAATATGCTCTCTCTAAAGGAAGGTTGAACTCTGTGAGTTGCATACACACAACACAAAGAAGTTACTGAGAAATCTTCTGTCTAGCATAATATGAAGAAATCCCGTTTCCAACGAAGGCCTCAAAGAGGTCCGAATATCCACTGGCAGGCTTCACAAACAGAGTGTTTCCTAACTGCTCTGTGAAAAGAAAGGTTAAACTCTGTGAGTTGAACGCACACATCACAAAGGAGTTTCTGAGAATCATTCTGTCTAGTTTTTATACGAAGATATTTCCTTTTCTACCGTTGACCTCAAAGCGGCTGAAATCTCCACTTGCAAATTCCAGAAAAACAGTGTTTCAAATCTGCTCTGTGTAAAGGATCGTTCAACTCTGTGAGTTGAATACACACAACACAAGGAAGTTACTGAGAATTCATCTGTCTAGCATAATATGAAGAAATCCCGTTTCCAACGAAGGCCTCAAAGAGGTCTGAATATCCACTTGCAGACTTTACAAACAGAGTGTTTCCTAACTGCTCTTTGAAAAGAAAGGTTAAACTCTGTGAGTTGAACGCACACATCACAAAACAGTTTCTGAGAATCATTCTGTCTAGTTTTTATACGAAGATATTTCCTTTTCTACCGTTGACCTCAAAGCGGCTGAATTCTCCACTTACAAATTCCACCAAAAGAGTGTCTCAAAAGTGCTCTGTGTAAAGAATCATTCAACTCTGTGAGTTGAATGCACACAACACAAGGAAGTTACTGGGAATTCCTCTGTCTAACCTTACATGAAAAAACCCGTTTCCAACGAAGGCCTCTAAGAGGCCAAGATATCCACTTGCAGACTTTACAAACAGAGTGTTTCCAAACTGCTGAATGAAAAGAAAAGTTAAACTCTGTGAGTTGAACGCACACATCACAGAGCAGTTTCTGAGAATGATTCTGTCGGGTTTTTATACGAAGATATTTCCTTTTCTGCCTTTGGCCTCAAAGCGCTTGAAGTCTCCACTTGCAAATTGCAGAAAAAGAGTGTTTCGAATCTGCTCTGTCTAAAGGAAGGTTCAACTCTGTCAGTTGAATACACACAACACAAGGAAGTTACTGAGATTTCTTCTGTCTAGCCTTACATGAAAAAAACCCGTTTCCAACGAAGGCCTCAAAGAGGTCAAAATATCCACGTGCAGACTTTCCAAACAGAGTGTTTCCAAACTGCTGAATGAAAAGAAAGTTAAACTCTGTGAGTTGAACGCACACATCCCAGAGCAGTTTCTGAGAAAGATTCTGTCTAGTTTTTATAGGAAAATATTTCCTTTTCTGCTTTTGGCCTCAAAGCGCTTGAAATCTCCACTTGCAAATTCCACAAAAAGAGACTTTCAAATCTGCTCTGTCTAAAGGAAGGTTCAACTCTGTCAGTTGAATACACACAACACAAAGAAGTTACTAAGAATTCTTCCCTCTAGCATTATATGAAGAAATCCCGTTTCCAACGAAGGCATCTAAGAGGTCCAAATATCCACTTGCAGACTTTACAAACAGAGGGTTTCCAGAATGCTGTATGAAAAGAAAGGTTAAACTCTGTGAGTTAAACACACACATCACTACGCAGTGTCTGGGAACGAGTTTGTCTTGTTTTTATACGAAGATATTTCCTTTTCTACCATTGGCATCGAAGCGCTTGAAATCTCCACTTGCAAATTCCACAAAAAGAGTGTTTCAAATCTGCTCTGTCTAAAGGAAGGTTGAACTCTGTGAGTTGCATACACACAACACAAAGAAGTTACTGAGAAATCTTCTGTCTAGCATAATACGAAGAAATCCCGTTTCCAACGAAGGCCTCAAAGAGGTCCGAATATCCACTGGCAGGCTTCACAAACAGAGTGTTTCCTAACTGCTCTGTGAAAAGACAGGTTAAACTCTGTGAGTTGAACGCACACATCACAAAGGAGTTTCTGAGAATCATTCTGTCTAGTTTTTATACGAAGATATTTCCTTTTCTACCATTGACCTCAAAGCGGCTGAAATCTCCACTTGCAAATTCCAGAAATACAGTGTTTCAAATCTGCTCTGTGTAAAGGATCGTTCAACTCTGTGAGTTGAATACACACAACACAAGGAAGTTACTGAGAATTCATCTGTCTAGCATAATATGAAGAAATCCCGTTTCCAACGAAGGCCTCAAAGAGGTCTGAATATCCACTTGCAGACTTTACAGAGTGTTTCCTAACTGCTCTCTGAAAAGAAAGGTTAAACTCTGTGAGTTGAACGCACACATCACAAAACAGTTTCTGAGAATCATTCTGTCTAGTTTTAATACGAAGATATTTCCTTTTCTACCGTTGACCTCAAAGCGGCTGAATTCTCCACTTACAAATTCCACCAAAAGAGTGTCTCAAATCTGCTCTGTGTAAAGAATCGTTCAACTCTGTGAGTTGAATGCACACAACACAAGGAAGTTACTGGGAATTCCTCTGTCTATCCTTACATGAAAAAACCCGTTTCCAACGAAGGCCTCTAAGAGGCCAAGATATCCACATGCAGACTTTACAAACAGAGTGTTTCCAAACTGCTGAATGAAAAGAAAAGTTAAACTCTGTGAGTTGAACGCACACATCACAGAGCAGTTTCTGAGAATGATTCTGTCGGGTTTTTATACGAAGATATTTCCTTTTCTGCCTTTGGCCTCAAAGCGCTTGAAGTCTCCACTTGCTAATTGCAGAAAAAGAGTGTTTCGAATCTGCTTCTGTCTAAAGGAAGGTTCAACTCTGTCAGTTGAATACACACAACACAAGGAAGTTACTGAGATTTCTTCTGTCAAGCCTTACATCAAAAAAACCCGTTTCCAACGAAGGCCTCAAAGAGGTCAGTATATCCACGTGCAGACATTACAAACAGAGTGTTTCCAAACTGCTGAATGAAAAGAAAAGGTAAACTCTGTGAGTTGAACGCACACATCAAAGAGCAGTTTCTGAGAATGGTTCTGTCTAGTTTTTATAGGAAAATATTTCATTTTCTGCCTTTGGCCTCAAAGCGCTTGAAATCTCCACTTGCAAATTCCAGAAAAAGAGTGTTTCAAATCTGCTCTGTCTAAAGGAAGGTTCAACTCTGTCAGTTGAATACACACAACACAAAGAAGTTACTAAGAATTCTTCCCTCTAGCATTATATGAAGAAATCCCGTTTCCAACGAAGGCATCTAAGAGGTCCAAATATCCACTTGCAGACTTTACAAACACAGGGTTTCCAGAATGCTGTATGAAAAGAAAGGTGAAACTCTGTGAGTTAAACACACACATCACTATGCAGTGTCTGGGAACGAGTTTGTCTTGTTTTATACGAAGATATTTCCTTTTCTACCATTGGCATCGAAGCGCTTGAAATCTCCACTTGCAAATTCCACAAAAAGAGTGTTTCAAATCTGCTCTGTCTAAAGGAAGGTTGAACTCTGTGAGTTGCATACACACAACACAAAGAAGTTACTGAGAAATCTTCTGTCTAGCATAATATGAAGAAATCCCGTTTCCAACGAAGGCCTCAAAGAGGTCCGAATATCCACTGGCAGGCTTCACAGAGTGTTTCCTAACTGCTCTGTGAAAAGAAAGGTTAAACTCTGTGAGTTGAACGCACACATCACAAAGGAGTTTCTGAGAATCATTCTGTCTAGTTTTTATACGAAGATATTTCCTTTTCTACCATTGACCTCAAAGCGGCTGAAATCTCCACTTGCAAATTCCAGAAAAACAGTGTTTCAAATCTGCTCTGTGTAAAGGATCGTTCAACTCTGTGAGTTGAATACACACAACACAAGGAAGTTACTGAGAATTCATCTGTCTAGCATAATATGAAGAAATCCCGTTTGCAACGAAGGCCTCAAAGAGGTCTGAATATGCACTTGCAGACTTTACAAACAGAGTGTTTCCTAACTGCTCTTTGAAAAGAAAGGTTAAACTCTGTGAGTTGAACGCACACATCACAAAACAGTTTCTGAGAATCATTCTGTCTAGTTTTTATACGAAGATATTTCCTTTTCTACCATTGACCTCAAAGCGGCTGAATTCTCCACTTACAAATTCCACCAAAAGAGTGGCTCAAATCTGCTCTGTGTAAAGAATCATTCAAATCTGTGAGTTGAATGCACACAACACAAGGAAGTTACTGGGAATTCCTCTGTCTAACCTTACATGAAAAAACCCGTTTCCAACGAAGGCCTCTAAGAGGCCAAGATATCCACTTGCAGACTTTACAAACAGAGTGTTTCCAAACTGCTGAATGAAAAGAAAAGTTAAACTCTGTGAGTTGAACGCACACATCACAGAGCAGTTTCTGAGAATGATTCTGTCGGGTTTTTATACGAAGATATTTCCTTTTCTGCCTTTGGCCTCAAAGCACTTGAAGTCTCCACTTGCAAATTGCAGAAAAAGAGTGTTTCGAATCTGCTCTGTCTAAAGGAAGGTTCAACTCTGTCAGTTGAATACACACAACACAAGGAAGTTACTGAGATTTCTTCTGTCTAGCCTTACATGAAAAAAACCCGTTTCCAACGAAGGCCTCAAAGAGGTCAAAATATCCACGTGCAGACTTTCCAAACAGAGTGTTTCCAAACTGCTGAATGAAAAGAAAGTTAAACTCTGTGAGTTGAACACACACATCACAGAGCAGTTTCTGAGAATGATTCTGTCTAGTTTTTATAGGAAAATATTTCCTTTTCTGCTTTTGGCCTCAAAGCGCTTGAAATCTCCACTTGCAAATTCCACAAAAAGAGACTTTCAAATCTGCTCTGTCTAAAGGAAGGTTCAACTCTGTCAGTTGAATACACACAACACAAAGAAGTTATTAAGAATTCTTCCCTCTAGCATTATATGAAGAAAAACCGTTTCCAACGAAGGCATCTAAGAGGTCCAAATATCCACTTGCAGACTTTACAAACTGAGGGTTTCCAGAATGCTGTATGATAAGAAAGGTTAAACTCTGTGAGTTAAACAAACAGATCACTACACAGATTCTGGGAAAGATTTTGTCTTGTTTTTATACGAAGATATATCCTTTTCTACCATTGGCATCAAAGCGCTTGAAATCTCCACTTGCAAATTGCACAAAAAGAGTGTTTCAAATCTGCTCTGTCTAAAATAAGGTTGAAGTCTGTGAGTTGCATACACACAACACAAAGTAGTTACTGAGAAATCTTCTGTCTAGCATAATATGAAGAAATCCCGTTTCCAACGAAGGCCTCAAAGAGGTACTAATATCCACTGGCAGACTTCACAAACAGAGTGTTTCCTAACTGGTCTGTGAAAAGAAAGGTTAAACTCTGTGAGTTGAACGCACACATCACAAAGGAGTTTCTGAGAATTATTCTCTCTAGTTTTTATACGAAGATATTACCTTTTCTACCATTGACCTCAAAGCGGCTGAAATCTCCACTTGCAAATTCCAGAAAAAGAGTGTTTCAAATCTGCTCCGTGTAAAGGATCGTTCAACTCTGTGAGTTGAATACACACAACACAAGGAAGTTACTGAGAATTCTTCTGTCTAGCATAATATGAAGAAATCCCGTTTCCAACGAAGGCCTCAAAGAGGTCTGAATATCCACTTGCAGACTTTACAAACAGAGTGTTTCCTAACTGCTCTTTGAAAAGAAAGGTTAAACTCTGTGAGTTGAACGCACACATCACAAAACAGTTTCTGAGAATCATTCTGTCTAGTTTTTATACGAAGATATATCCTTTTCTACCGTTGACCTCAAAGCGGCTGAATTCTCCACTTACAAATTCCACCAAAAGAGTGTCTCAAATCTGCTCTGTGTAAAGAATCATTCAACTCTGTGAGTTGAATGCACACAACACAAGGAAGTTACTGGGAATTCCTCTGTCTAACCTTACATGAAAAATCCCGTTTCCCACGAAGGCCTCTAAGAGGCCAATATATCCCCTTGCAGACTTTACAAAGAGAGTGTTTCCAAACTGCTGAATGAAAAGAAAAGTTAAACTCTGTGAGTTGAACGCACACATCACAGAGCAGTTTCTGAGAATGATTCTGTCGGGTTTTTATACGAAGATATTTCCTTTTCTGCCTTTGGCCTCAAAGCGCTTGAAGTCTCCACTTGCAAATTGCAGAAAAAGAGTGCTTCGAATCTGCTCTGTCTAAAGGAAGGTTCAACTCTGTCAGTTGAATACACACAACAGAAGGAAGTTACAGAGATTTCCTCTGTCTAGACTTACATGAAAAAAACCCGTTTCCAACGAAGGCCTCAAAGAGGTCAAAATATCCAAGGCAGACTTTACAAACAGAGTTTTTCCAAACTGCTGAATGAAAAGAAAAGTTAAACTCTGTGAGTTGAACGCACACATCACAGAGCAGTTTCTGAGAATGATTCTGTCTAGTTTTTATAGGAAAATATTTCCTTTTCTGCTTTTGGCCTCAAAGCGCTTGAAATCTCCACTTGCAAATTCCATAAAAAGAGACTTTCAAATCTGCTCTGTCTAAAGGAAGGTTCAACTCTGTCAGTTGAATACACACAACACAAAGAAGTTACTAAGAATTCTTCCCTCTAGCATTATATGAAGAAATCCCGTTTCCAACGAAGGCATCTAAGAGGTCCAAATATCCACTTGCAGACTTTACAAACAGAGGGTTTCCAGAATGCTGTATGAAAAGAAAGGTTAAACTCTGTGAGTTAAACACACACATCACTACGCAGTTTCTGGGAATGATTTTGTCTTGTTTTTATACGAAGATATTTCCTTTTCTACCATTGGCATCGAAGCGCTTGAAATCTCCACTTGCAAATTCCACAAAAAGAGTGTTTCAAATCTGCTCTGTCTAAAGGAAGGTTGAACTCTGTGAGTTGCATACACACAACACAAAGAAGTTACTGAGAAATCTTCTGTCTAGCAAAATATGAAGAAATCCCGTTTCCAACGAAGGCCTCAAAGAGGTCCGAATATCCACTGGCAGGCTTCACAAACAGAGTGTTTCCTAACTGCTCTGTGAAAAGAAAGGTTAAACTCTGTGAGTTGAACGCACACATCCCAAAGGAGTTTCTGAGAATCATTCTGTCTAGTTTTTATACGAAGATATTTCCTTTTCTACCATTGACCTCAAAGCGGCTGAAATCTCCACTTGCAAATTCCAGAAAAACAGTGTTTCAAATCTGCTCTGTGTAAAGGATCGTTCAACTCTGTGAGTTGAATACACACAACACAAGGAAGTTACTGAGAATTCATCTGTCTAGCATAATATGAAGAAATCCCGTTTCCAACGAAGGCCTCAAAGAGGTCTGAATATCCACTTGCAGACTTTACAAACAGAGTGTTTCCTAACTGCTCTTTGAAAAGAAAGGTTAAACTCTGTGAGTTGAACGCACACATCACAAAACAGTTTCTGAGAATCATTCTGTCTAGTTTTTATACGAAGATATTTCCTTTTCTAACATTGACCTCAAAGCTGCTGATTTCTCCAGTTACAAATTCCACCAAAAGAGTGTCCAAATCTGCTCTGTGTAAAGAATCATTCAACTCTGTGAGTTGAATGCACACAACACAAGGAAGTTACTGGGAATTCCTCTGTCTAGCCTTACATGAAAAAAACCCGTTTCCAACGAAGGCCTCAAAGAGGCCAATATATCCACTTGCAGACTTTACAAACAGAGCATTTCCAAACTGCTGAATGAAAAGAAAAGTTAAACTCTGTGAGTTGAACGCACACATCACAGAGCAGTTTCTGAGAATTATTCTGTCGGGTTTTTATACGAAGATATTTCCTTTTCTGCCTTTGGCCTCAAAGCGCTTGAAGTCTCCACTTGCAAATTGCAGAAAAAGAGTGTTTCGAATCTGCTCTGTCTAAAGGAAGGTTCAACTCTGTCAGTTGAATACACAGAACACAAGGAAGTTACTGAGATTTCTTCTGTCTAGCCTTACATGAAAAAAACCCGTTTCCAACGAAGGCCTCAAAGAGGTCAAAATATCCACGTGCAGACTTTCCAAACAGAGTGTTTCCAAACTGCTGGATGAAAAGAAAAGTTAAACTCTGTGAGTTGAACGCACACATCACAGAGCAGTTTCTGAGAATGATTCTGTCTAGTTTTTATAGGAAAATATTTCCTTTTCTGCTTTTGGCCTCAAAGCGCTTGAAATCTCCACTTGCAAATTCCACAAAAAGAGACTTTCAAATCTGCTCTGTCTAAAGGAAGGTTCAACTCTGTCAGTTGAATACAGACAACACAAAGAAGTTACTGAGAATTCTTCCCTCTACCATTATATGACGAAATCCCGTTTCCAACGAAGGCATCTAAGAGGTCCAAATATACACTTGCAGACTTTACAAACAGAGGGTTTCCAGAATTCTGTATGAAAAGAAAGGTGAAACTCTGTGAGTTAAACACACACATCACTACGCAGTTTCTGGGAATGATTTTGTCTTGTTTTTATACGAAGATATTTCCTTTTCGACCATTGGCGTCGAAGCGCTTGAAATCTCCACTTGCAAATTCCACAAAAAGAGTGTTTCAAATCTGCTCTGTCTAAAGGAAGGATGAACTCTGTGAGTTGCATACACATAACACAAAGTAGTTACTGAGAAATCTGTCTAGCATAATATGAAGAAATCCCGTTTCCAAGGAAGGCCTCAAAGAGGTCCGAATATCCACTGGCAGACTTCACAAACAGAGTGTTTCCTAACTGCTCTTTGAAAAGAAAGGTTAAACTCTGTGAGTTGAACGCACACATCACAAAACAGTTTCTGAGAATCATTCTTTCTAGTTTTTATACGAAGATATTTCCTTTTCTACCGTTGACCTCAAAGCGGCTGAATTCTCCACTTACAAATTCCACCAAAAGAGTGTCTCAAATCTGCTCTGTGTAAAGAATCATTCAACTCTGTGAGTTGAATGCACACAACACAAGGAAGTTACTGGGAATTCCTCTGTCTAACCTTACATGAAAAAACGCGTTTCCAACGAAGGCCTCTAAGAGGCCAAGATATCCACTTGCAGACTTTACAAACAGAGTGTTTCCAAACTGCTGAATGAAAAGAAAAGTTAAACTCTGTGAGTTGAACGCACACATCACAGAGCAGTTTCTGAGAATGATTCTGTCGGGTTTTTATACGAAGATATTTCCTTTTCTGCCTTGGCCTCAAATCGTTTGAAGTCTCCACTTGCAAATTGCAGAAAAAGAGCGTTTCGAATCTGCTCTGTCTAAAGGAAGGTTCAACTCTGTCAGTTAAATACACACAACACAAGGAAGTTACTGAGATTTCTTCTGTCTAGCCTTACATGAAAAAAACCCGTTTCCAACGAAGGCCTCAAAGAGGTCAAAATATCCACGTGCAGACTTTCCAAACAGAGTGTTTCCAAACTGCTGAATGAAAAGAAAGTTAAACTCTGTGAGTTGAACACACACATCACAGAGCAGTTTCTGAGAATGATTCTCTCTAGTTTTTATAGGAAAATATTTCCTTTTCTGCTTTTGGCCTCAAAGCGCTTGAAATCTCCACTTGCAAATTCCACAAAAAGAGACTTTCAAATCTGCTCTGTCTAAAGGAAGGTTCAACTCTGTCAGTTGAATACACACAACACAAAGTAGTTACTAAGAATTCTTCCCTCTAGCATTATATGAAGAAATCCTGTTTCCAACGAAGGCATCTAAGAGGTCCAAATATCCACTTGCAGACTTTACAAACACAGGGTTTCCAGAATGCTGTATGAAAAGAAAGGTTAAACTCTGTGAGTTAAACACACACATCACTACGCAGTGTCTGGGAACGAGTTTGTCTTGTTTTTATACGAAGATATTTCCTTTTCGACCATTGGCGTCGAAGCGCTTGAAATCTCCACTTGCAAATTCCACATAAAGAGTGTTTCAAATCTGCTCTGTCTAAAGGAAGGATGAACTCTGTGAGTTGCATACACACAACACAAAGTAGTTACTGAGAAATCTGTCTACCAATAAGATGAAGAAATCCCGTTTCCAACGAAGGCTTTAAATAGGTGCGAATATCCACTGGCAGACTTCACAAACAGAGTGTTTCCTAACTGCTCTATGAAAAGAAAGGTTAAACTCTGCGAGTTGGACGCACACATCACAAAGGAGTTTCTGAGAATCATTCTGTCTAGTTTTTATACGAAGATATTTCCTTTTCTACCATTGACCTCAAAGCGGCTGAAATCTCCACTTGCAAATTCCAGAAAAACAGTGTTTCAAATCTGCTCTGTGTAAAGGATCGTTCAACTCTGTGAGTTGAATACACACAACACAAGGAAGTTACTGAGAATTCATCTGTCTAGCATAATATGAAGAAATCCCGTTTCCAACGAAGGCCTCAAAGAGGTCTGAATATCCACTTGCAGACTTTACAAACAGAGTGTTTCCTAGCTGCTCTTTGAAAAGAAAGGTTAAACTCTGTGAGTTGAACGCACACATCACAAAACAGTTTCTGAGAATCATTCTGCCTAGTTTTTATACGAAGATATTTCCTTTTCTACCGTTGACCTCAAAGCGGCTGAATTCTCCACTTACAAATTCCACCAAAAGAGTGTCTCAAATCTGCTCTGTGTAAAGAATCATTCAACTCTGTGAGTTGAATGCACACAACACAAGGAAGTTACTGGGAATTCCTCTGTCTAACCTTACATGAGAAAAAAACCGTTTCCAACGAAGGCCTCAAAGAGGCCAATATATCCACTTGCAGACTTTACAAACAGAGTGTTTCCAAACTGCTGAATGAAAAGAAAAGTTAAACTCTGAGAGTTGAACGCACACATCACAGAGCAGTTTCTGAGAATGATTCTGTCGGGTTTTTATACGAAGATATTTCCTTTTCTGCCTTTGGCCTCAAAGCGCTTGAAGTCTCCACTTGCAAATTGCAGAAAAAGAGTGCTTCGAATCTGCTCTGTCTAAAGGAAGGTTCAACTCTGTCAGTTGAATACACACAACACAAGGAAGTTACAGAGATTTCCTCTGTCTAGCCTTACATGATAAAAACCCGTTTCCAACGAAGGCCTCAAAGAGGTCAAAATATCCACGTGCAGACTTTCCAAACAGAGTGTTTCCAAACTGCTGAATGAAAAGAAAAGTTAAACTCTGTGAGTTGAACGCACACATCACAGAGCAGTTTCTGAGAATGATTCTGTCTAGTTTTTATAGGAAAATATTTCCTTTTCTGCTTTTGGCCTCAAAGCGCTTGAAATCTCCACTTGCAAATTCCACAAAAAGAGACTTTCAAATCTGCTCTGTCTAAAGGAAGGTTCAACTCTGTCAGTTGAATACACACAACACAAAGAAGTTACTAAGAATTCTTCCCTCTAGCATTATATGAAGAAATCCCGTTTCCAACGAAGGCATCTAAGAGGTCCAAATATCCACTTGCAGACTTTACAAACAGAGGGTTTCCAGAATGCTGTATGAAAAGAAAGGTGAAACTCTGTGAGTTAAACACACACATCACTACGCAGTGTCTGGGAACGAGTTTGTCTTGTTTTTATACGAAGATATTTCCTTTTCGACCATTGGCGTCGAAGCGCTTGAAATCTCCACTTGCAAATTCCACAAAAAGAGTGTTTCAAATCTGCTCTGTCTAAGGGAAGGATGAACTCTTTGAGTTGCATACACACAACACAAAGTAGTTACTGAGAAATCTGTCTAGCATAATATGAAGAAATCCCGTTTCCAAAGAAGGCCTCAAAGAGGTCCGAATATCCACTGGCAGGCTTCACAAACAGAGTGTTTCCTAACTGCTCTGTGAAAAGAAAGGTTAAACTCTGTGAGTTGAACGCACACATCACAAAGGAGTTTCTGAGAATCATTCTGTCTAGTTTTTATACGAAGATATTTCTTTTTCTACCATTGACCTCAAAGCGGCTGAAATCTCCACTTGCAAATTCCAGAAAAACAGTGTTTCAAATCTGCTCTGTGTAAAGGATCGTTCAACTCTGTGAGTTGAATACACACAACACAAGGAAGTTACTGAGAATTCATCTGTCTAGCATAATATGAAGAAATCCCGTTTCCAACGAAGGCCTCAAAGTAGGTCTGAATATCCACTTGCAGACTTTACAAACAGAGTGTTTCCTAACTGCTCTTTGAAAAGAAAGGTTAAACTCTGTGAGTTGAACGCACACATCACAAAACAGTTTCTGAGAATCATTCTGTCTAGTTTTTATACGAAGGTATTTCCTTTTCTACCGTTGACCTCAAAGCGGCTGAATTCTCCACTTACAAATTCCACCCAAAGAGTGTCTCAAATCTGCTCTGTGTAAAGAATCATTCAACTCTGTGAGTTGAATGCACACAACACAAGGAAGTTACTGGGAATTCCTCTGTCTAACCTTACAGGAAAAAAACCCGTTTCCAACGAAGGCCTCTAAGAAGCCAATATATCCACTTGCAGACTTTACAAACAGAGTGTTTCCAAACTGCTGAATGAAAAGAAAAGTTAAACTCTGTGAGTTGAACGCACACTTCACAGAGCAGTTTCTGAGAATGATTCTGTCTGGTTTTTATACAAAGATAATAACTTTTCTGCCTTTGACCTCAAAGCGCTTGAAGTCTCCACTTGGAAATTCCACAAAAAGAGTGTTTCAAATCTGCTCTGTCTAAAGGAAGGTTCAACTCTGTCAGTTGAATACACACAACACAAAGAAGTTACTAAGAATTCTTCCCTCTAGCATTATATGAAGAAATCCCGTTTCCAACGAAGGCATCTAAGAGGTCCAAATATCCACTTGCAGACTTTACAAACTGAGGGTTTCCAGAATGCTGTATGATAAGAAAGGTTAAACTCTGTGAGTTAAACAAACAGATCACTACACAGATTCTGGGAAAGATTCTGTCTAGTTTTTATAGGAAAATATTTCCTTTTCTGCTTTTGGCCTCAAAGCGCTTGAAATCTCCACTTGCAAATTCCACAAAAAGAGACTTTCAAATCTGCTCTGTCTAAAGGAAGGTTCAACTCTGTCAGTTGAATACACACAACACAAAGAAGTTACTAAGAATTCTTCCCTCTAGCATTATATGAAGAAATCCCGTTCCCAACGAAGGCATCTAAGAGGTCCAAATATCCACTTGCAGACTTTACAAACAGAGGGTTTCCAGAATGCTGTATGAAAAGAAAGGTTAAACTCTGTGAGTTAAACACACACATCACTACGCAGTGTCTGGGAACGAGTTTGTCTTCTTTTTATACGAAGATATTTCCTTTTCTACCATTGGCATTGAAGCGCTTGAAATCTCCACTTGCAAATTCCACAAAAAGAGTGCTTCAAATCTACTCTGTGTAAAGGAAGGTTGAACTCTGTGAGTTGCATACACACAACACAAAGAAGTTACTGAGAAATCTTCTGTCTAGCATAATATGAAGAAATCCCGTTTCCAACGAAGGCCTCAAAGAGGTCCGAATATCCACTGGCAGGCTTCACAAACAGTGTGTTTCCTAACTGCTCTATGAAAAGAAAGGTTAAACTCTGTGAGTTGAACACACACATCACAAAACAGTTTCTGAGAATCATTCTGTCTAGTTTTTATACGAAGATATTTCCTTTTCTACCATTGACCTCAAAGCGGCTGAAATCTCCACTTGCAAATTCCAGAAAAACAGTGTTTCAAATCTGCTCTGTGTAAAGGATCGTTCAACTCTGTGAGTTGAATACACACAACACAAGGAAGTTACTGAGAATTCATCTGTCTAGTATTACAGGACGAAATCCTGTTTCCAACGAAGTCCTCAAAGAGGTCAGAATATCCACTTGCAGACTTGACAAACAGAGCGCTTACAAACGGCTCTATGAAAAGAAAGGTTAAACTCTGTGAGTTGAAGTCACACATCACAACGCAGTTTGTGGGAATGATTCTGTCTAGTTTTTATACGAAGATATTTCCTTTTCTACCATTGACCTCAAAGCGGCTGAATTCTCCACTTACAAATTCCACCAAAAGAGTGTCTCAAATCTGCTCTGTGTAAAGAATCATTCAAATCTGTGTGTTGAATCCACACAACACAAGGAAGTTACTGGGAATTCCTCTGTCTAACCTTACATGAAAAAACCCGTTTCCAACGAAGGCCTCTAAGAGGCCAAGATATCCACTTGCAGACTTTACAAACAGAGTGTTTCCAAACTGCTGAATGAAAAGAAAAGTTAAACTCTGTGAGTTGAACGCACACATCACAGAGCAGTTTCTGAGGATGATCTGTCGGGTTTTTATACGAAGATATTTCCTTTTCTGCCTTTGGCCTCAAAGCGCTTGAAGTCTCCACTTGCAAATTGCAGAAAAAGAGTGCTTCGAATCTGCTCTGTCTAAAGGAAGGTTCAACTCTGTCAGTTGAATACACACAACAGAAGGAAGTTACAGAGATTCCTCTCTGTCTAGCCTTACATGAAAAAAACCCATTTCCAACGAAGGCCTCAAAGAGGTCAAAATATCCACGGCAGACTTTACAAACAGATTGTTTCCAAACTGTTGAATGAAAAGAAAAGTTAAACTCTGTGAGTTGAACGCACACATCACAGAGCAGTTTCTGAGAATGATTCTGTCGAGTTTTTATAGGAAAATATTTCCTTTTCTGCTTTTGGCCTCAAAGCGCTTGAAATCTCCACGTGCAAATTCCACAGAAAGAGACTTTCAAATCTGCTCTGTCTAAAGGAAGGTTCAACTCTGTCAGTTGAATACACACAACACAAAGAAGTTACTAAGAATTCTTCCCTCTAGCATTATATGAAGAAATCCCGTTTCCAACGAAGGCATCTAAGAGGTCCAAATATCCACTTGCAGACTTTACAAACACAGGGTTTCCAGAATGGTGTATGAAAAGAAAGGTTAAACTCTGTGAGTTAAACACACACATCACTACGCAGTGTCTGGGAACGAGTTTGTCTTGTTTTTATACGAAGTATATTTCCTTTTCTACCATTGGCATCGATGCGCTTGAAATTTCCACTTGCAAATTCCACAAAAAGAGTGTTTCAAATCTGCTCTGTCTAAAGGAAGGTTGAACTCTGTGAGTTGTATACACACAACACAAAGAAGTTACTGAGAAATCTTCTGAATAGCATAATATGAAGAAATCCCGTTTCCAACGAAGGCCTCAAAGAGGTCCGAATATCCACTGGCAGGCTTCACAAACAGAGTGTTTCCTAACTGCTCTGTGAAAAGAAAGGTTAAACTCTGTGAGTTGAACGCACACATCACAAAGGAGTTTCTGAGAATCATTCTGTCTAGTTTTTATACGAAGATATTTCCTTTTCTACCATTGACCTCAAAGCGGCTGAAATCTCCACTTGCAAATTCCAGAAAAACAGTGTTTCAAATCTGCTCTGTGTAAAGGATCGTTCAACTCTGTGAGTTGAATACACACAACACAAGGAAGTTACTGAGAATTCATCTGTCTAGCATAATATGAAGAAATCCCGTTTCCAACGAAGGCCTCAAAGAGGTCTGAATATCCTCTTGCAGACTTTACAAACAGAGTGTTTCCTAACTGCTCTTTGAAAAGAAAGGTTAAACTCTGTGAGTTGAACGCACACATCACAAAACAGTTTCTGAGAATCATTCTGTCTAGTTTTTATACGAAGGTATTTCCTTTTCTACCGTTGACCTCAAAGCGGCTGAATTCTCCACTTACAAATTCCACCCAAAGAGTGTCTCAAATCTGCTCTGTGTAAAGTATCATTCAACTCTGTGAGTTGAATGCACACAACACAAGGAAGTTACTGGGAATTCCTCTGTCTAACCTTACATGAAAAAACCCGCTTCCAACGAAGGCCTCTAAGAGGCCAAGATATCCACTTGCAGACTTTACAGAGTGTTTCCAAACTGCTGAATGAAAAGAAAAGTTAAACTCTGTGAGTTGAACGCACACATCACAGAGCAGTTTCTGAGAATGATTCTGTCTGGTTTTTATACGAAGATATTTCCTTTTCTGCCTTTGGCCTCAAAGCGCTTGAAGTCTCCACTTACAAATTGCAGAATAAGAGTGTCTCGAATCTGCTCTGTCTAAAGGAAGGTTCATCTCCGTCTGTTGAATACCCACAACACAAGGGAAGTTACTGAGATTTCTTCTGTCTAGCCTTACATGATAAAAACGCGTTTCCAACGAAGGCCTCAAAGAGGTCAAAATATCCACGTGCAGACTTTCCAAACAGAGTGTTTCCAAACTGCTGAATGAAAAGAAAAGTTAAACTCTGTGAGTTGAACGCACACATCACAGAGCAGTTTCTGAGAATGATTCTGTCTGGTTTTTATAGGAAAATATTTCCTTTTCTGCTTTTGGCCTCAAAGCGCTTGAAATCTCCACTTGCAAATTCCACAAAAAGAGACTTTCAAATCTGCTCTGTCTAAAGGAAGGTTCAACTCTGTCAGTTGAATACACACAAGACAAAGAAGTTACTGAGAATTCTTCCCTCTAGCATTATATGAAGAAATCCCGTTTCCAACGAAGGCATCTAAGAGATCCAAATATCCACTTGCAGACTTTACAAACAGAGGGTTTCCAGAATGCTGTATGAAAAGAAAGGTTAAACTCTGTGAGTTAAACACACACATCACTACGCAGTTTCTGGGAATGATTTTGTCTTGTTTTTATACGAAGATATATCCTTTTCTACCATTGGCATCGAAGGGCCTTAAATCTCCACAAGCAAATTCCACAAAAAGACTGTTTCAAATCTGCTCTGTCTAAAGGAAGGTTGAACTCTGTGAGTTGCATACACACGACAAAAAGTAGTTACTCAGAAATCTTCTGTCTAGAATAATATGAAGAAATCCCGTTTCCAACGAAGGCCTCAAAGAGGTCCGAATATCCACTGGCAGACTTCACAAACAGAGTGTTTCCTAACTGCTCTGTGAAAAGAAAGGTTAAACTCTGTGAGTTGAACGCACACATCACAAAGGAGTTTCTGAGAATCATTCTGTCTAGTTTTTATACGAAGATATTTCCTTTTCTACCATTGACCTCAAAGCGGCTGAAATCTCCACTTGCAAATTCCACAAAAAGAGTGTTTCTAATCTGCTCTGTGTAAAGGATCGTTCAACTCTGTGAGTTGAAAGCACACAACACAAGGAAGTTACTGAGAATTCTTCTGTCTAGCATAATATGAAGAAATCCCGTTTCCAAGGAAGGCCTCAAAGAGGTCTGAATATCCACTTGCAGACTTTACAAACAGAGTGTTTCCTAACTGCTCTTTGAAAAGAAAGGTTAAACTCTGTGAGTTGAAAGCACACATCACAAAACAGTTTCTGAGAATCATTCTGTCTAGTTTTTATACGAAGATATTTCCTTTTCTACCGTTGACCTCAAAGCGGCTGAATTCTCCACTTACAAATTCCACCAACAGTGTCTCAAATCTGCTCTGTGTAAAGAATCATTCAACTCTGTGAGTTGAATGCACACAACACAAGGAAGTTACTGGGAATTCCTCTGAATAACCTTACATGATAAAAACCCGTTTCCAACGAAGGCCTCTAAGATGCCAATATATCCACTTGCAGACTTTATAAACAGAGTGTTTCCAAACTGCTGAATGAAAAGAAAAGTTAAACTCTGTGAGTTGAACGCACACATCACAGAGCAGTTTCTGAGAATGATTCTGTCTGGTTTTTATACGAAGATATTTCCTTTTCTGCCTTTGGCCTCAAAGCGCTTGAAGTCTCCACTTACAAATTGCAGAATAAGAGTGTCTCGAATCTGCTCTGTCTAAAGGAAGGTTCATCTCCGTCTGTTGAATACCCACAACACAAGGAAGTTACTGAGATTTCTTCTGTCTAGCATTACATGCAAAAAAACCCGTTTCCAACGAAGGCCTCAAAGAGGTCAAAATATCCACGTGCAGACTTTCCAAACAGAGTGTTTCCAAACTGCTGAATGGAAAGAAAAGTTAAACTCTGTGAGTTGAACGCACACATCCCAGAGCAGTTTCTGAGAAAGATTCTGTCGAGTTTTTATAGGAAAATATTTCCTTTTCTGCTTTTGGCCTCAAAGCGCTTGAAATCTCCACTTGCAAATTCCACAAAAAGAGACTATCAAATCTGCTCTGTCTAAAGGAAGGTTCAACTCTGTCAGTTGAATACACACAACACAAAGAAGTTACTAAGAATTCTTCCCTCTAGCATTATATGAAGAAATCCCGTTTCCAACGAAGGCATCTAAGAGGTCCAAATATCCACTTGCAGACTTTACAAACACAGGGTTTCCAGAATGCTGTATGAAAAGAAAGGTGAAACTCTGTGAGTTAAACACACACATCACTACGCAGTGTCTGGGAACGAG